>NC_000022.11:30830776-30982291 GCF_000001405.40 Homo sapiens
AGCATGGCGTTTCCATAGCGCCATTATCCCTTTGCCACTGTTTTTAGGTCTCTATTTTTGGTCAATGTTTTTCCTTTATACAAACATCCTTTTAATATCATTGAGATCCAAAAAAAAAAAATGTCATTTTCACATGGCTGTACATCATAAACACTTTCCCACGTTATCGCAGGCTTTGTGTTTATTCGTTGGAAGGCTGTGGAATGCCTTTTCCTTCTGTTAGACATTTAGGTTCTTCCCAGATCACTGTAGCCAACTGCTGCCTGAGCATCTTTGGCATGTAAAGTTTTTCCTTTGTGTTTCTTTCCGGGACACATTGCCAAGAATGCAATCGCTGAGTCAAAGGGTGTGAATGCTTCCCTCTAGCAGCCCCATCACCCTTGGCAAGAACGTTCTGGTTCATGATGCTTGGGGCGGGTGTGGACAACACCTTGCTGTAAGCTTCCCTACATTAGACTTCCATCATTCTGAGAGATTATTCTTTGGCCAGTATAATGTGCCTTGTTTTCACTTGCAATTGACTAACCAAAAAGCATGAAGTGTCCTTACTAGTTCAGTTATTATTTGTTGTTGCTCTTTGATGGCTCGTCAGCTGCACTGTCTCCTGCCATTGTGTGGAAAACCAACGGAAGGCATTCTAAACGAAGTTGGTTTATGTTGTACGTGGCTGGAACCCAAGCCAGACAGGACTTCTTGGGACCCTGGCACCGATCCACTGTCCTTGGTGGTTGGGGTTCAGAGAAGTGGTCCCTGGAACTGTCATCCCCTAGCAAAACCTGCTTCTTGACTTGTGGGGCAAATGCAAAATGAAAATATAGGGCCCCTTGCAAAAATTATTAAGAATTTCAAGACAGCTGAGAATTAAATCAAGGGTAGGGCCCTTCTGAATTGGGGGTGATGCTGGCACTGCCCCTGTTCTCTGGAGTTATCTAGTGGGAGGTGGCTCACTTGACTGTACTGAATCCACTCTTTAGCTTTCCCAAGGGACATTCCAGATGCAGAGGTCCCAATCCAGGCATGGGTGAGAGTCTGATGGGAGGCCACTTATGGCCACCAACAGCCCCCATCCTGCTGCTGTGATCAGCACTCAAAGTCAGCACCACAGGAGAACCTGTTAACCACCCTCTCTGATCTCCTTGGCCCAAAGTTAATTGCCTTCTCCCATGGCTGTTTCTGTGCCTACTTTGACCTCACCCTGACCCCTGGTAGCTCTTTCTGGTGATGATCTGACCTTTCTCCTCCTGCTCCTCTTTGCCTGCTTTGGCCAAGCAGAACAAGTGACCAGGAAGCATCTCACTGTCCTGGGACATTCTGGGCACTTTTTCCAGTATGAGCCTTCATCTTTGTTGTGCCTACTTCACTCCCACCATCCCTCTCTGCCCTTCTGCCCTTGCCCCCTTCTTACCAGCTCAGTTTTCAAGATTCACACTGAAGTCCTTAATGTATCCAGAATTGATTTCTGTATATATATGTAAATGATATGAACTATGCAGTTAATTTTCTTTTTCTTTTTTCTTTTCTTTCTTTTTTTTTTTAAGATACAAAGTCTCGTTTTGTTGCCTGGAGTGCAGTGGCATGATCATGGCTCACTGCAGCCTCGACCTCCCCATCTCAAGCGATCCTCCCACCTCAGCCTCCCAAGTAGCTGGGACTACAGGCATGTGCCACCACACCTGGCTAATTTTTTTTTTTCCTGTAAAGATGGGGTTTTGCTATGTTGCCCAGGCTGGTTTTGAACTCTTGGCCTCAAGTGCTCCTCCTGCCTTGGCCTTCCAAATGCTGGCAGGAGCTGCTGCTTGTATTGTGCAAAGCAGGTAATTTAAGTGGCTGCAGATAGCCGCTCACAGTTGGAATCATTGTTTGGACTCATTCTTAATTGGAAATGCCAGGCTCTTTCTGTGATCACGGTCACGATCTCCTTGAAGACAGCAGAGTTTCCTTGCGGGGTATTAACTTCTCAGGGGCCTCCGAAACATGCTGGCATTCTCAATGGACTAGATGGATTTCCACAGAAGGAAGGGGAGGTGACCCTGGTCTCAGGGCTGGGCAGTGGCGCACTGCAGGGGAGCTGGGGTGGAGTGCCCAGCTAGCCACAGCAGCAGGAGCTGCATTCCAGGAGTGTCTCCCTGTGAATTGCATAGAGTTTAAAGTTTTTAAAATGGCCCTTGGCTTGATTTAGTTCTTACTCTCATGGGAAATGTGGCCATAGATACTCGTGTTCTTTTTCCACATTTTTCAAAGTTTGATTCAGAAAGGTGTCAGTGCGCGAGTTCTCACATTGAGTTGAGAAGGATTCAGTCACCCATATGAAAGAAAATGTTATAGCCATAGAATCCTAGACTGTCACTGTCAGATGGGGTCTTAGAGATGATTTACCAAACCCCTATGGTACAGACAAGGAAACTGAGGCCTAGAAACACACAACTGTACAGCTAGGAAGGCATGGAGCCAGCCGTCCGCTGTTAGAGATTAGAGGACATAATCCCAAATCATCACCGTTTGGCTGTTAAAATAATTCATGACTTTTTTTTCCTGGTTACCAAGATAGTTCATGCTCATTGTAGAAAATCCAATAGGAAAAAAAAGCATCTAAAAGAAATTTTAAAATAAGCGTAATTCTGTTGCAGAGATAACCACAAATAATACTAGCTACTTACTGTGCATGGAGCTCCTGGGCCATACACCTACATGTGTAATTGAGCTCTGCTTGTCCCTTGACCTGTCACCCTGAACCTCAGCTGGTTTGAGGTCCCTCCCTTGATTTTGTAGGTGTGGCAGCTGAGACATTGACGCAGAATTTGCCTTGTCACACAGCCATAGTAAATGGACTCAAAGCCAGCCACTAGTCTCACCATATACCAGAACCAGGATTTAATAGCATTTTAAATTGTGTTGAGAATTGAAAACAGTATCTCATTATTGAATGAGTGTATCTTTGCTAGAATTTCTATTGGGTTTGAATTTTTTTCTTCTAGTGTATTAACCTCTTGCAGGTCTGGGACTTCATCATCATATGCCAGTTTTGTCTAGTGTTGCACCTAAACCATGGTGATATGATTATTGCAGTTGGAAAGTATGTTTTCTATAGTAGGGCAGATCTTCTCTTATCAGTGTTTTTTTACCAACACTTTGTTTTGCAAAATTTCAAACAGAAAAGTTGCAAGAACTGTATAATCAACACTTGTACACCCACCACATAGATTCTACCAATAACATTTTACTATATTTACTTGATCACCATTTATCCTTCCATACATCCCTCTCTTTAACCATCAGTCCATTTTTTTTTTTGACATAGGGTCTTGCTCTGCTGCCCACGCTGGGGTGCAGTGGTGTGATCATAGCTCACTGCAGCCTCTAACTTCTAGGCTCAGGTGATCCTCCCACTTCAGCCTCCCAACTTTATTCATTTTTACTGCCATATAATATTCCAGTGTAGGAATATAGAACATCCACTCATCAGTTGATGGACATTTGGGTTATTTCTACTTTGGGGCTATTATAAATCTTCTATGAACTTTTCTATGAACACAAAAGCGCATAAACTTTTGTGTGGATGTATGTTTTCTTCACTCTTGGTTATATACCAAGGAGTGGGATTGCTAGGTAATATAGTTTAACTTTTGAGAGACTGCTCAACTGTTTTTCATAGAGACTGCACCATTTTACATTATCACAAGGAATGTATTAGGATTCCAGTTCCTCTAAATCCTTGCTCTAACACATGCTACTTTCTGGGTTTTGTTTGTTTTTTAATCACTGTCATCCTGTTGGAAGTGAAGTAGTTATTTCATGGTGGTTTTGTTTTGCATTTCTCTAATAACTGATAATGTTGAACATCTTTTCATGTGCTTACTGGCCATTTGTATATTTTCTTTGAAGAAATGCCTATTTAAATCCTTTGCCTATTATCTATTTGGGTTGTCTTTTTATTCTCGTATGAGTTATTTATATATTCTGGATACAAGTCCCTTATCAGATACATTTTCAGAAATATTTTCTCCTATTCTATGGATTGTCTTTTCTTTTCTTTTCTTTTCTTTTTTTTTTCTTTTTTGAGATGGAGTCTCGCTTGGTCGCCCAGGCTGGAGTGCAGTGGCGTGATCTTGGCTCACTGCAACCTCTGCCTCCTGGGTTCAAGTGATTCTCATTCCTCAGTCTCCTGAGCAGCTGAGAATACAGGCATGCACCACCACACCTGGCTAATTTTTGTATTTTTAGTAGAAACAAGGTTTTACCATGTTGGTCAGGTGGTCTCGAACTTCTGACCTCAGGTGATCTGCCCACCTCGGCCTCCCAAAGTGCTGGGGTTACACCATGCCTGGCCTGTCTTTCATTCTTGATAGTATCACTTGCAGCACAAAATTTTTAATTTTGATGTTTAATTTATCTATTTTTTTTGTTTTGTCATCTGTGCTTTTGTAATATCTAAGAAACCATTGTCTAATCCAAATTCAAGAAGATTTACTTCTGTGTTTTCTTCTAGGAATTTTATAGTTTTAGTTCTTGCATTTAGATCTATGATTCATTTTAATTTTTTTATATAGGGTAAGGTTGGGATCCAACTTCATTCTTTTGCATGCTATCCCAGCACCATTTGTTGAGAATATTTTTGTCTCCCCATTTAATTATCTTAGCACCCTTGTTGAAAATCAGTCAACCATAAATGTAAGGGTTAATTTCTGGATTTCTAGTTCTATTCCAGTGATCTATATGTCTATCCTTATGCCAACACCACACTTTCAATAGACACTCTTAATTTGAATGTAGTTGAATTTATCAGTTTTTATAGATAGGACCTTTTATATTTCTGCCTGGAGACCATACTGGTATTTTCTAAAAATTTTCTCCTGAAAAGTTTTCAAGATTCACACTGAAGTCCTTAATGTATCCAGAATTGATTTCTGTATACATATGTAAATGATACGAAATATGTAGTTACTTTTTTTTTTTTTTTTTTTAAGATACAAAGTCTCATTTTGTTGCCTGGAGTGCAGTGGCATGATCACGGCTCATTGCAGCCTCGACCTCCCCTATCTCAAGTGATCCTCCCACCTCAGCCTCCCAAGTAGCTGGGACTACAGGCATGTGCCACCACACCTGGCTAAATTTTTTTTTTTCCTGTAAAGGTGGGGTTTCACTATGTTGCCCAGGCTGGTTTTGAACTCTTGGCCTCAAGTGCTCCTCCTGCCTTGGCCTTCCAAATGCTGGGATTACAGGCATGAGCCACCATGCCCAGCCATTAATTGTATTTTTCTGATGTGGTCAACCAAGTAGCTCAGTGCTATTTATTGAGCAGTTTCTCTTCTCTCCTCTGATCCACTCTACCACTTCTGATGACTGTCAGAGTTCTACATATGCTTGGGTCTGTTTGGGGTGCTCGCTCTCATTTCACAGAACAATTTTTTCCCCTGCTTTAGTACCACAGTACCTTAAGTACTTTATAATACAGTTTGATATCTTGTAGTTCAAGTCCCCCTGCTCGCTTATCAGGGTGCTGTTATTCCTGTTTTAGAAATGGGAAAACAGGCTAGAGAGGTTATGTCCCAGGCCATAATGCTAATGACTGGCAGAGCCAGGCTTGTTTGAACTTGGGCAGGCCGACTTGCAGGCTCTACCCTTAGCCTCTGAATTCTGCTTCCCTTAATGGCAAGCACATACAAAGCTATTTGTTGTTGGTTCACATTTGCTCCACTGGCCAACAGTTGAAGACCTTTCCTCCTTCCTTTTCTTTGCCTGGCAAAAGGAAGACACATTTTCATTGTAACCCCCTGAATATAATGCTTAACCTTCTGCTGCTGCCAAACCGGAGATATTTCGGGAAAGGTAATTCAAAGGTATTTACCACTAAGTTTATGTCTTTGGGCAAGCTTTCAGGCAAAGGTGCTGATGCAGGCGTGGTTCAGTGAAGAGCTGGTGGAGCGAGTGGGATGCAGCAGGGCAGGTAGCCCCAGGGTCAGCAGACACAGCAGGCAATTGGGAGAGGAGAGACTCCAGAAGCCCCAAGAGGTGATAATCACTGGAGTTCTGGTTGATATTGGCCAGAAAGAAGGAGGCTTGGGGACTTAGTGGCTTTTAGGGACTGCTGCCTGTGTCCCCAGTGCCTTATGTAGTAGCTGGCACATGACAGGTTCTCCGTCAACTCTTGTTAAGTGGGTGAATGTGATTAAAGAACCAATTTAACAGATCAAAGATGATAAAAAGTGGCTCACTCCTGTAATCCCAGCACTTTGGGAGGCCAAGGCAGGCACATCACTTGAGCCCAGGAGTTCAATACTAGCCTGGCCAACATGGCGAAACCCCATCTCTACAACAACAACAACTAAAATACAAAAATTAGCCAGGTGTAGTGGCATCTACCTGTAATCCCAGCTACTAGGGAGGCTGAGGCAGGAGAATCACTTGAAACTGAGAGGCAGAGGTTGCAGTGAGCCAAGATCATGCCACTGTACTCCAACCTGGGCAACAGAGTGAGACTCTGTCTCAAAAAAAAAAAAAAAAAGAAAGAAAGTTTGCCCATAACCCTAATGGACCTTGGCTTCCTTTTCTGTTCCACTGGGGGTAGAGAAGTGGTTATTTGTGCCCAGGCAGTGATGCAGAAGCATGGAAAACCACTGAGACCCCTTTTGCTGGGGTCCCGCTCGTCCCCATGAGAAGGAGGTGGGCCATTCTACCTAGCAGTGCTGTGCACTGGTTTATAGGTAGCTTGTGGCTTCCAAGAGTCTGCACTGTGTGAAGAAGAAACTATTGCAGAAGAAAAATGCCTCTACTTTTCTCTTGGTGCCTAGCTCAGAAGGAATGGAGTCCATTGTCATTCCAAATGGCATTTCCTAGAATCTGGGTCACCCTGCAACTCCCTGAGCATGTGTGGCTCTGAGCCCTGCGCTCGTTTGCCAGCTGCTGAGGCTGCGATTGTGATGTGGTTCTAGGCAGGTTCGGGGTGAGCAAAGCCCAGGGTGCGACAGGGTGATGCAAGCCACAGGAGGAGTCAGGACCTAAGGCCGGGCTAAATCTTGATGCCAGCATTGTCTTGGTTGCTTCCTTTGCAGCCCTGAAGACTCTGCTTCTTACACATTGGTTGGGCATGTGAACCCTCTTTAGAATAATGTAGGTCTTCATTTTTCCAAGCTCACATGTGCTTTTTGTGAAAGAGCATCATCGTTATTTTTAGTGAATGCTTTGTATGTGCCAAAAACTATGCTGTGCTTTTTATGTACATTGTCAAATTTAATTTCTTTTCAGCCCCGAGGTACATATTTTTTCTATTCTGATTTTAGAGAGGAAGAAACTAGACACAGTGAGATTAAGTCATTTGGTAAAGATAGCAGAACTGTGAGGTTCAGCAAACCAGAGCCCACCCTTTTAGGATCTAGACCTTGTCAGGATTCCTCGTGTGGCAGCAAGCTGTCCAATTTAGAGGGTCCCAGCAGCAGCTTCATGCACATCCCGAGCATGCAGCTGTGGCATGAAGGGGACTGGAAGGTTAAATGTGCTTCTCTTCCAACTTGTGTTCCAGTGTTTGGAGTCCCTGGGGATGTGATTGCATAATACTGTTAATTCCCTGAGGATAAGAACCAGGTCTGATTCATATCTATGAAATAATTGGAAAAATATAGGAAAATATGAGGAAATAAAAGTATATAAACCCACAAAACAAATACTTTAATGTACTTTTGTGTATTTCTTTTTCTTACGTTATTCCATTGGCTGGAACCTCCAGTACAATGTTAAATAGAAGTGATGACAGCAGAAATCCTTGCCATGGTCCTAGTCCTGGGGGAGAACATTCAGTCTTTCACCATTAACTACGATCTGCACTGTATGTTTTTTACAGATCTCTTATCAAGTTGAGCAAGTTCCCTTTTATTCCTAGTTTTCTGAGAGATTTTATGACGAAGAGATGTTTAATTTTGCCCAGTGCTTTTTTTTTCTGTGCCTATTAAAATTATTATCACTTGGATTTTTTTTCTTTAGTCTGTTAATATAGTGAATTATTTTGATTTTTATATTTTGGTCCCACCCTCAAGGTTTTTTGTTGTTGTTGTTGTTTCGTTTTGTTTTTTTTTATTATTATTATACTTTAAGTTTTAGGGTACATGTGCACAATGTGCAGGTTAGTTACATATGTATACATGTGGCATGCTGGTGTGCTGCACCCATTAACTCATCATTTAGCATTAGGAGATATACCTAATCTCCCCCCTCCCCCCACCCTTCCCCCCTCCCCCCACCCCACAACAGTCCCCAGAGTGTGATGGTCCCCTTCCGGTGTCCATGTGTTCTCATTGTTCAATTCCCATCTATGAGTGAGAACATGTGGTGTTTGGTTTTTTGTCCTTGCGATAGTTTACTGAGAATGATGATTTCCAATTTCATCCATGTCCCTACAAAGGACATGAACTCATCATTTTTTATGGCTGCATAGTATTCCATGGTGTATATGTGCCACATTTTCTTAATCCAGTCTATCATTGTTGGACATTTGGCTTGGTTCCAAGTCTTTGCTATTGTGAATAGTACCACAATAAACATATGTGTGCATGTGTCTTTATAGCAGCATGATTTATAGTCCTTTGGGTATATACCCAGTAATGGGATGGCTGGGTCAAATGGTATTTCCAGTTCTAGATCCCTGAGGAATCGCCACACTGACTTCCACAATGGTTGAACTAGTTTACAGTCCCACCAACAGTGTAAAAGTGTTCCTATTTCTCCACATCCTGTCCAGCACCTGTTGTTTCCTGACTTTTTAATGATTGCCATTCTAACTGGTGTGAGATGGTATCTCATTATGGTTTTGATTTGCATTTCTCTGATGGCCAGTGATGATGAGCATTTTTTCATGTGTCTTTTGGCTGCATAAATGTCTTTTGAGAAGTGTCTGTTCATATCCTTTGCCCACTTTTTGATGGGGTTGTTTTTTTCTTGTAAATTTGTTTGAGTTCATTGTAGATTCTGGATATTAGCCCTTTGTCAGATGAGTAGGTTGCGAAAATTTTCTCCCATTTTGTAGGTTGCCTGTACACTCTGATGGTAGTTTCTTTTGCTGTGCAGAAGCTCTTTAGTTTAATTAGATCCCATTTGTCAATTTTGGCTTTTGTTGCCATTGCTTTTGGTGTTTTAGACATGAAGTTCTTGCCCATGCCTATGTCCTGAATGGTATTGCCTAGGTTTTCTTCTAGGGTTTTTATGGTTTTAGGTCTAACGTTTAAGTCTTTTAAGCCATCTTGAATTAATTTTTGTATAAGGTGTAAGGAAGGGATCCAGTTTCAGCTTTCTTTTTTTTTTTTTTTCAACTTTCTTTTTTAGCATTGGGTGATATACCTAATGCTAGATGACGAGTTAGTGGGTGCAGTGCACCAACATGGCACATGTATACATATGTAACTAACCTGCACAATGTGCACATGTACCCTAAAACTTCAAGTGTAATAAAAAAAAAAAAGAAAGAAACTTAAAGTGCATCTTGTTGCAAACAAACCCTGGTATATAGCAGGCATTCAATAAATGTTTATTAAATAAACCTGTTAAAAAAAAAAAGAAAAAGGAAAAAAAAAAAGAAAGCTGAAACTGGATCCCTTCCTTACACCTTACACCCTCAAGGTTTTTTCTTGTTCATTAGCTCTAGAATAGAGCTGGAAGATTGGCATTTCTAACAAGATCCCAGATGATGCTGGTCCAGTGATTACAATTTGAGAACCACTTCATTAAAGAGATGGGAGGGAGATGGGGTGGGGAGTGGTAAAATCTCAGTTAGCCACTTGAGTTCAGACTTAGCTCTGCCCCTTACCAGATGTGTACATGTAACATAGCCTCTCCAAACCTATGTCTTATCTGTAAGATGGGATTGATAATAAGGCAAGAAGTGAAAGAGTTGATATGGGGAAATAACTCAGAATAGTGTCTGGCACAAAGTAAATGCTTAATAAATCTTACCTATTTGTTCCTTTCTGTATGGTGGGTGGGAGGACTTAATGAGATAATTAATGTAAAGCCCTGGCACATACAAAGTGCTGCATACATGCTAGTTTTAGTGTTTTTTTTTTTAACAGCTTTCTTGAGATATAATTCACACACCACATAATCCATTTAAAGTGTACAACGTGGGCTAGGCGAGGTGACTCATGCCTGTAATCTCAGGACTTTGGGAGGCCCAGGCAGGTGGATCACTTGAGGTCAGGAGTTTAAGACCAGTCTGGCCAACATGATGAAACCCCATCTCTACTAAAAATACAAAAATTAACCAGGTGTGATGGCGGGCACCTGTAACCCCAGCTACTTGGGGGTCTGAGGAATGAGAATCACTTGAACCCGGGAGGCGGAGGCTGCAGTGAGCTGAGATTGCATCACTGTACTCCAGCCTGGGTGACAGAGTGAGACTCTGTCTCACAAAAACAAAAAAACAAAAAATAAATAATAAAAAATAAAGTGTACAATGTCTTTTACTATATTTACAAGGCTAGGCAAACCATCGTTACACTCAATTTTAGAACATTTTTATCCCTCCTGAAATAAATCTTATACCTGTTAGCAGTCAATCCCCATTTCTCCTGACCCCTCAACCCTAAGCAACTGCTGTCTACTTTCTGTCTCTATAGGTTTGCCTACTTTGGACATGTTATACAAATGAAACCACATAATGTACAACCTTTGTGACTGGCTTCTTTCAATTAGCATAATGTTTTCAGAGCTTATGCGTGTTGCTACATGTATCAGTACTTCTCTCCTTTGTACTGTTGAGTAAGATTCCGTGACGTAGATACAGTCATACCTCGGAGATATTGCAGATTCAGTTCCAGATAAAGCAATAAGTGCGTCACATGAATTTTTTGGTTTCCTGATGCATATTAAAGTTATGTTTATATTGTACTCTAGTAAGTGAGCAATAGCATTATGTCTAAAAAACAATGTATATATCTTCACTTAAAAATATTTTATTGTAGACCTGGCATGGTGGCTCACACCTCTCATTGCAGTGGTTTGGGAGGCTGAGGCAGAAGGATCAGGGGCCAAGAGTTTGAGACTAGTCCAGGCAACATAGTGAGAACTTGTCTGTACCAAAAACAACAAAAAAAAATAGCTGAGAGTTGTGGCATGCACCTGTAATCCTGACTACTTGGGATTGAACCACTGCATTCTAGCCTGGGTAATAGGGTGAGACTCTGTCTCAAACAATTTTTTTTTTTTGAGAGAGGGTCCTACTCTGTCACCCAGGCTGGAGTGCAGTGGAGAGGTCACAGCTCACTGGAGCCTTCACCTCCCTGGGCTCAGGTGATCTTCTTACCTCAACCTCCCGAGTAGCTGGGACCACAGGGGTGCACCAACATGCCCAGCTTACTTTTGTATTTTTTGTAGACACAGAGTTTTATCGTGTCACCCAGGCTGGTCTCGAACTCCTGAAGTGGGAGTATCCCTTGAGCTCAGGAGTTTGAGGCTGCAGTGAACTATGAATGCAGCCAACTATGAACAATGCAATGAACCATCGCACTTCAGTCTGGGCGACAGAGCAAGGCCCTGTCTCAAAAACAAAACAAAACAAACCCTCTATTACTAACAACTTAACAATCATTGAGCCTTCAGCCAGTTTTTTTTCTTGGTGGAGGGCCTTGCCTTGATGTTGATGGCTGGTGACTGATCAGCGTGGTGATTGCTGAAGGTTGGGGTGGTTGCAGCAATTTCTGAAAATAAGACAACACTGAAGTTTGCCACATCAGTCAACTCTCCCTTTCACAAACGATTTCTCTGTGCCATGTTTGATAGCATTTTATCCTCAGTAGAACTTCTTTCAAAATTGGAATCAATCCTCTCAAACCCTGCCACTGCTTTTTCAACTAAGTTGATGTAATATTCTGAATCCTTTGTTATCATTTCAACAGTGTTCACAGCATCTTCACCAGGATTAGATTTCATCTCAAGAAACCACTCTGCTCATCCGTAAGAAGCAACTCTTTATTCGTTCAAGTTTTGTCATGAGATTTCAGCAATTCAGTTCGTTCTTTCTTTCTTTCTTTCTTTTTTTGAAGGAGTCTGGCTCTGTCATCCAGCCAGGCTGGAGTGCAGTGACGCAATCTCGGCTCACTGCAACCTCCATCTCCTGGGTTCAAGCGATTCTCCTGCCTCAGCTTCCTGAGCAGCTGGGATTACAGGAGTGTGCCACCACACCTGGCTAATTTTTATTTTTATTTTTAGTAGAGACGAGGTTTCACCACGTTGGCCAGGCTGGTCTCAAACTCCTTACCTCAAGTGATCCACCCACCTCAGCCTCCCAAAGTGCTGGGATTACAGGTGTGAGCCACCGCACCCGGCCTGCAATTCAGTTATATCTTGAGGCTCCACTTCTAATTCTGATTCTCTTGCTATTTCTACTACATTTGCAGTTACTTCCTCCACTGAAGTCTTGAACCCCTCAAAGTCATCCTGGAGGGTTGGAATCAACTTCTTCCAAACTTCTGTTAATGTTGATATTTTGACCTCCTCCCATGAATCACCAATGTTCTTAATGGTGTCTAAGAGAGTGAATCATTTCCAGAGACCCCATTGGTGGCAAATTCGTAGACGCCCTGAAGCCAGGCTCCCACATTGTCCAGTATTTTGCAAGCTTCATTTGCCAAACTGGCAGTGCTCCCAGGGACCCTGCTGGAAGCCACAGTACGTTTTCAGGAATCTTTCCCCCCTCCCCCTTGAGCAATAGGTCCTGACAGTGGGCTTAAAATATTCCATAAGCCACACTATAAACAGGTGTGCTGTCATTCAGGCTTCATTGTTCCATTTATAGAGCATAGGCCGAATAAATTTAGAATAATTCAGCCAGGAACTGTAGCTCATGCCTGTAATCCCAGCACTGTGGGAGGCCAAGGAGGGCAGATCACTTGAGCTCAGGAGTTTAAGACCAGCCTGGGCAACATAGTGAAACCCCATCTCTACCAAAATAAAAAATAAAAATCAGCCCAGCATGGTGGTGTGTGCCTGTAGTCCCAGCTACTTGGAAGGCTGAGGTGGGAGGATCAGTTGAGCCCAGGAGTTGGAGGTTGCAGTGAGCCAGGATCGTGCCACTGCACTCCAGCCTGGGTAATAGAGTGAGACCCTGTCTCAAACAATTTTTTTTTTTTTTTTTTGAGACAAGATCTTACTCTGTCACCCAGGCCGGAGTGCAGTGGAGGGATCACAGCTCACTGGAGACTTCACCTTCCTGGGCTCAGGTGATCTTCCTACCTCAACCTCCCGAGTAGCTGGGACCACAGGTGTACACCAACATGCCCAGCTTACTTTTGTATTTTTTGTAGACACAGAGTTTTACTGTGTCACCCAGGCTGGTCTCGAACTCCTGTGCTCAAGCAATCTGCTCGCTTTGGCCTCCCAAAGTGGTAGGATTACAAGCATGAGCCACCGCGCCTGGCCAAATTTAGCATAATTCTTAAGGGCCCTAGGGTCTTTGGAATGGTAAATGAATATTAGCTTCAACTTAAAGTCACCAGCCGCATTGTCCCCTAAGAAGAGCCAACCTGTCCTTTGAAGTCAGGCGTTGACTTCTCCTCTGTAGCTATGAAAGCCCTAGATGACATCTTCTTCCAACAGAAGACTGTTTCATCTACATTGAAACCCTGTTGTGTAATGTAGCCACCTTCATCTATTATCTTAGCTAGATCTTTTGGATAACTTGCTGCAGTTTCTACATCAGCACTTACTGCTTCACCTTGCCCTTTTAGGTCATGGAGATGGCTTATTTCCTTAAACCTCATGAACCAACCTCTACTAGCTTCAGATTTTTCTTCTGCAGTTTCCTCACCTCTGTCAGCCTCCATACAACTGAAGAGAGTTAAGGGCTTGCTCTGGATTAGGTATTGGCTTAAGGGAATGTCATGGCTGGTTTGATCCTCTATCCAGACCACTAAAACTTTCTATCAGCAATAAGACTGTTTCCCTTATCATTTATGTCTTAACTGGAGTAGCAATTTTAATTTCCTTCAAGAACATGTCCTTTGCATTCATAACTTGGCTAATTAGTGCAAGAGGCCTAGGTTTGGGCCTGTCTTAACTTTCAACATGAGTTCCTCACTAAGCTTACTGGTTTTTAGCTTTTGATTTAAAGTGAGAGCCATGCAACTCTTTCTTTCACCTGAACACTTTGAGGCCTTTGTATGGTTATTAATTGGCCTAATTTCAATAATGTTGTGTCTCAGGAAAGGGAGGCTCAAGAAGGAGAGAGATGGGGGAATGGCTGGTCAGTGGAACAGTCAGAACACATACAACATTTATTGATTAAGTCTGCCATCTTATATGGATGTGGTTTGTTGCACTCCAGCAATTACAGCTGTAACATCAAAGATCTCTGATAACAGATCATCATAACAGATATAATAATGAAAAAGTTTAGCCGGGTGCAGTGACTCACACCTGCAATCCCAGTACTCTGGGAGGCCAAGGTGGGCGGATCACCTGAGGTCAGGAGTTTACAGCCAGTATGGCCAACATGGTGAAACCCGTCTCTACCATATATACAAAAACTTAGCCAGGCGTGGTGGTAGGTGCCTGTAATCCCAGGAGGCTGAGGCAGGAGGATTGCTTGATCCTGGGAGGCAGAGGTTGCAGTGAGCTGAGATCGTGCCATTGCACTCCAGCCTGGGCTACAAGAGTGAGACTGCATCTCAGAAATTAAATAAATAAATAAATAAATAAATTGTTATATTGTAAGAATTACCAAAATGTGACACAGAGACATGAAGTGAGCCTATGATGTTGAAGAAATGGCACCAATAGACCTGCTCAATGCAGGGTTGCTACTGACCTTCAATTTGTTTAAAAAAAAAAAAGTGGGGGTGGGGGACGGCCAGGCACGGTGGCTCACACCTGTAATCCCAACACTTTGGGAGGCCGAGGTGAGCAGATCATGAGGTCAGGAGTTCGAGACCAGCCTGGTCAACATGGTGAAATCCCATCTCTACCAAAAATACAAAAATTAGCCAGGTGTGGTGGCACGTGCCTGTAATCCCAGCTACCTGGGAGGCTGAGGCAGAAGAATTGCTTGACCCAGGAGGTGGAGGTTGCAGTGAGCTGAGATCGTGCCACTGCACTCCAGCCTGGGTGACAGAGTGAGACTCTCTCAAAAAAAAAAAAAAAAAAAAGGCAGTATTTGCAAAGCAGAATAAAAGAGGTATGCCTGTATACTGCCTTTATCCATTCATCAGTTGATGGACATTAACTTTGGGCCCATAATGAACAATGCTGCTATGAACATTCATGTGTGAGTTTTTGTGTGGATATATGTTTTCATTTTTCTTGGGTGTATACCTAGGAGTGGGATTGCTGGGTTATATAATGACTGCCCAACTGTTTTCTAAAGTGATCATATCATTTTATTTTATTTTATTTTATCTTACATTATTTTTTTGAGACAGGGTCTCAACTCTGTCACCCAGCTGGAGTGCAGTGGTGTAATCTTGGCTCACTGCAACCTCTGCCTCCCAGGTTCAAGCAATTCTCCTGTCTCAGCCTTTCATGTAGCTGAGATTACAGGCATGCACCACCATGCCTGGCCAATTTTTGTATTTTTAGTAGAGACAGGGTCTCACCATATTGGCCAGGCAGGCTGGTCTTGAACTCCTGACCTCAAGTGATCCACCCGCCTTGGCCTCCCAAAGTGCTGGGATTACAGGTGTGAGCCACCGCACCCAGCCTGATTGTACTATTTACATTCCCACAGTATGAGAGTTCCAATTTTCCCACATCCTTACCAATATTTGTTATTTTCTGCTCTTTTGATAATAGCCATCCTAGTAGGTGGGAAATGCTAGTATCTCACTGTGGGTTTTTTTTTTAATCCCCTTCCCTCCCTCTCACTCTGGTTTTGATTTACATTTCTCTAATAACTAATGACATGAGCATTTTTTCATGTGTTTATTGACCGAAGAAGATATCTGTGTATCTACTTTGGAGAAATGTCTATTCAAATACCATTTTTAAGTTTGGTTATCTTTTATTGATATTTCATCATTGAACCAACATTCATTTCTGGAAGAAACCTCACTTAATATGTGTTATACTTTTTATGTATTGCTGGATTCAATTTGCTAGTACTTTTCTGAGTATTTTTGTGTCTTTGTTCATGCGGTATATTGGTCTGTTGTTTTCTTTTTTTGTGATCTTTGGTTTAGGTCCTTGGTCTGTGTAGAATTGATATTATTTCACTCTTAAATTTTATTTATTTATTTATTTATTTTTTGAGATGGAGTCTTTCTCAATCACCCTGGCTGGAGTACAGTAGCACAATCTTGGCTCACTGCAACTTCCACCTCCCAGGTTCAAATGATCCTCCTGCCTCAGCCTCCTAAGTAGCTGAGATTACAGGCACCTGCCACCATACCCAGATAATTTTTGTATTTTTAGTAGAGATGAGGTTTCACTTTGTTGGCCAGGCTGGTCTCAAACTCCTGAACTCAGGTGATCTTCTTACCTCGGCCTCCCAAAGTGCTGGAATTACAGGCCTGAGGCACCTGCACCCAGGCTCATTCTTTTTTCTTTTTCCCTGAGAGGGAGTCTTGCTGTTCACCCAGGCTGGAGTGCAGTGGCATGACCTCGGCTCACTGGAACATCCACCTCCCAGGTTCAAGCAATTCTTTTGACTCAGCCTCCCGAGCAGCTGGGACTACAGGTGCCCACCACCACGCCTGGCTAATTTTTGTATTTTTTGTAGAGATGGGATTTCACCATGTCGGCCAGGCTGGTCTCGAACTCCTGACCTCGTGATCCACCCGCCTCAGCTTCCCAAAGTGCTGAGATTACAGGTGTGAGCCACCGTGCCCAGCCTAATTCTTAAATATTTGGTAGACTTCTTCACCAAAGCCTTCTGAGCCCTGAGTTTTCTGTTGTAAGATTTTAAACTATAGAATCAATTTCATTAATAGACTCCTCAGGTTTTTTTTATGAGTGAGTTTTGGTATGTTTGTATTTCAAGGCTTTGTTTATTTTGTCTAAGTTGTCAAGTTTGTGAGCAAAAAGTTGCTCATGATATTTCCTTGTTGTTCTTTGTCTGTGAGATCTGTAGTGATTTCCCCTCTTTCATTGCTGATATTAGTCATTTGTATCATTCTTTTTTCGTCCTCAATCTGGCTAGAGGTTTATAGATTTTATTGATATTTTCAAGGAATTGGATTTTTGTTTTATTATTTTTATATACTGTTTTTCTTATACATTCTTTTAAAACACATATACTATAGATACCCTATGAAAAGTAAATAGAATTATAGTATACATACTGTTTTGCTCCTTGATCTTTTTCACTGACTATGTCTTAAAGGTTTTTTCCATATTAGTACACAGAGTTCCATTAGATTCCCTAACAGCTATATAATATTCTGTTATATTCATGTTTCATAGTTTAAATAACCAGTCTCTTTTTGAAGGGCATTTAGGGCGTTTCCAGATGTTTTGCTATTGCAAATAGTGCTTTTAGGATGTTTCATTCTAAAAAGCATCCTAAAAGCTATTGCAAACAGTGCTGAATGTTTCCATCCCAAAAACTGTCCTAAAAGCTATTGCAAACAGTTTTGAAATGTACATTTATATATATCAATATTTGGTCATATGTATATCTGTATGTCTGTAGGATAAATGACTAGAACTGGATCAGTAAATGGTTGTCCTTTTTTTCCTTTTTAAATCAACCTTATTATTATTGAATTTAAATGCAACAAAATGAACTGATTTTAACTGTTCTTTGAGTTTTGACATGTATACACCTGTGTAGCTGCCACCCTAAAAAAGATATAGAACATTTTAATCATCCCCAAAAGTTTTCTCATACCTCTTTGCAGTCAATATCCCCCAACATCTTGCTTTAGATAGCAACTGATCTTTATGCACTATAGTTTTACTTGTTCTAGAATTCCATTGTATGAAATCAAACAATAGGACGTGTGCCCTCTTTCATTCAGTATCATGCTTTTGAGGTTCATCCATGTTATGTGAATATGTAGTTTGTTCGTTTTTATTGCTAACTCGTTTTCCATAGTGTGAATATACCACAATTTTTCATCTGTTAATGGATGTTTGAATAGTTTCAGTTTGGGGCTGCTATGAGCCATAAAACTGCTGTTAACATTTAAAATGCATGTATTTTCATGGACATATGTTTTTATTTCTCTTAGGTATATCTAGAAGTGGAATTATAGGTCATATCATAAGTGTATATTTATCCTTATAAGAAATTGCCAGCTGGGTGCAGTGGCTCATGCCTGTAATCCTAGCACTTTGGGAGGCCAAGGCAGGGGGATCACCTGAGGCCAAAACTTTGAGACCAGCCTGGCCAACATAACAGTACCCCATCTCTACAAAAAAATTTAAAAATTAGCCAGGCATGATGGTGCACGCCTGTAGTCCTAGCTGCTCAGGAGGCTGAGGTGGGAGGATTGCTTGAGCCCAAGGAGATTAAGAGTGTAGTGAGCTATGATCATGCCACTGCACTTCAGCCTGGGCAACAGAGTGAGACCCTATCTCAAAAAAAGAAAAGAAAAGAAAGAATTTAAAGAAAAGACAAAATAAACTGCTACACTTTGTTTTCCAAAGTGATTATACCATTTTACATCCCCACCAGCAAGGTATGAGAATTCAGTTGTCCCGCATCCTGCCAACCTGGAATTGTTGGTCTTTTTAAGTTCACTTCTTCCTGTAGGCATGTAATGGTATCTCATTACGGTTTTAATTTATATTTCTCTAGTTACTAATGATATTGAGCATCTCTTCATGTTCTTATTAGCCATTTGTATGTCTTCTTTTATAAAACACCTTTTCAAATCTTTTGCTTATGGGAGGGTGATGTTTGCCTTATTATGCATTTGTAGAGTTCTTTACATATTGTGAATACAAGTTGTCACGAACATATATTGGGAAAAACTTCTCCTGTGGTTTACCTTTTCATTTTTTAATGGTATCTTTCTGAGATCACATGATTTTAATTTTGATGAAAACTACTTATCAGATGTTTCTATTATGATTAGTCCTTTTTGTGTTCTAAGAAATTTTTGCCTACCTAAAGATAGTGCTATGTTTTCTTCTAGATGTTTTATAGTTTTAACCTTTACATCTAGGTTTATGTTCCATTTTGAATTAGTTTTTGTGTATGGGGTGACATAGTTGTCAAGGTTACTTTTTGCCATATGTATATTTAGTTGTTCAAGTACTATTTTTTTTAAATGAAGCTTCTCCTTCATTGACTTACCTTGACAGCTTTATTGAAATTCAGTTGATCAGGCTGGGCGTGGTGGCTCACACCTGTAATCCCAGCACTTTGGGAGGCCGAGGCGGGTGGATCATTTGAATTCAGGAGTTTAAGTCCAGCCTGGCCAACATGGTGAAACCCCATTCTCTACTAAAAATACAAAAAAATTAGCCGGGCATGGTGCTGTGTGCCTATAGTCCCAGCTACTTGGGAGGCTGAGGCAGGAGAATTGCTTGAAACCCAGGAGGCGGAGGTTGCAGTGAGCTGAGATTGTACTACAGCACTTCAACCTGGGTAACAGAGCTAGACTCTGTCTCAAAAAAAAAAAAAAAAATTCAGTTGATCACATATGTGCATGTCTATTTCTGAACTCTGCTATGTTCCATTATAAGTCCATACTTACGCCAATACTACACTGCCTTGATTATTTTAGTTGTATAGTAAATCATGTTAGTAGGTAATTTAAGTCCTCCAGGTTTGTTCTTGTTTTCCAAAACTGTTTTGGCTATTCTTCATCCTTTGATTTTTGAGACAGCATCTCACTCTGTCACCCAGGCTAGAGTGCAGTGGTGTGATCTCCGCTCACTGCAACCTCCGCCTCCTGGGTTCAAACAATACTCCTGCCTTAGCCTCCCAAGTAACTGGGATTACAGGTGCGTGCCATCATGCCTGGCTAATTTTGTATTTTTAATAGAGGCAGGGTTTCACCATGTTGGCCATGCTGGTCTTGAACTCCTGACCTCAAGTGATCCACCCGCCTGGGCCTCCCAAAATGCTGGGATTACAGGCGTGAGGCACTGCACCCGGCCTGATTTTCTATATAGATTTAAGAATTGGCTTGTCAATTTCAACAAAAAGTCTCCTGGGTTACTGAATGGGATTGCATTGAATCTATACATTAATTGTGGAAAATTGATATTTTAACAATATTTAAGTTTCCAATCCATGAACTTGGTATGTCTCTCCATTTATTTAGGTCTTTAATTTATCTTAGCCATGTGTTGTCTTTCACATATTTTGTTAAACTTATTTGTATTTACTGTTTTTGATGTCATTTTAAATGGTACTATTTTTATTTTATTGTTTTTTTGAGACAGAGTCTCACTCTGTTGGCCAGGCTGGAGTGCAGTGGCATGATCTTGGCTCACTGCAACTTCCTCCTCCCAGGTTCATATAATTCTCCTGCCTCAGCCTCCTGAGTAGCTAGAATTACAGGCATGCGCCACGCATACATGGCTAATTTTTGTATTTTTTTTTTTTAGTAGAGATGGGGTTTTACCATGTTGGCCAGGCTTGTCTCAAGCCCTGACCTCAGATAATCCACCCAAAGGGCTGGGATTACAGGCATAAGCCACCGTCCATGGCCTAAATGGTATTATTTTTAAATGTCATTTTCCAGTTGTTCATTGCTAGTATTTCAGAAAAATGATTGTTATATATTGACCTTTTATTCCACAGTCTTTCTAAATTCACATTTTAGTTCATGTGGCTTTTCTTTAGATTCTTTAGGGCTTTCTAACACAATGTGATCATGTTATCTGTAAGTAAAACCTTTTTCATTTCTTCCTTTCTAACCCATATGCTTTTGGTTTCTTTTTCTTGCCTTATTGCACTGACTGGAACTTCTAATGTAATGTTGAGTAGAAGTGGTAATAGCAGACATGACTTATTATTTCTAATAATAAGTTTTAGGAATTTTATTCCTAAACCAGGAAGTTTATTTCTGGTTTTAGGAATAAGGAAAATTTATTTTAGAGAAAAGAGTTCAACTTTTCATCATTAAGTATGATGATAACTGTAAGATTTTTATAGATGCCTTTTATAATGGTGAGGAAGTTCCTCCTTCTTCCTAGTTTTCTGTTTTTATCCGGAAGGGTTATTGAATTTTCTTAAATGCTTTTTTAGTATTTCTGTTTCTTAAATAATTCTACAGCCAGAAACTTTTTCAGTATTTATTGAATTTACATTTTTCTTGATACCATTAATATGAGTTGTATTTCAAACCTTAAACCTTGCACGCCTGAGATAAACCCCACTTGTCCATAATGTGTTATCCTTTTTTGCTGATTTCCATTTGCTAATATTTTGTCAAGGAAATTTGCATCCATAGTCATAAGGGTTTAGGGGCTTGTAGTTTTTCTTGTGATGTCTTTCTGCTTTTGCTTTCAGTGTGATATTGGCCTCATAGGATGATTGTGAATTGTTTCTACCCCCTATTTTCTGAAAAACTTTGGGTAAGAAGTGTATTATTTCTTCCTTAAACATTTGGTAGAATTTGCCAGGGCCACCATTTGGACCTGAGTTTTCTCTGAGGAAAAGATTTTTAAATTGAGTTTCTTTATAAAGGGCTTATCTGATTTTTATTTCTTGTGTCATTTTTGGTAATTGGTTCTTTCAAGGAAGTTTCCTTTTAATCAAAGGTGTTGAATTTATTGGTGTAACTTTTTTTGTAATATCCTTATAATATCCTTTAATGTCAACAGGATCAATAATAATGTTCCTTCTTTCATTTCTATCATTGATAATTTGTATTTTTTTTTATTTCTTGACTGCCCTAGCTAGAGATTTATCAATTTTATTGATCTTTTCAAAGAAAAGCTTCTCAAAGCCTTTAGTTTAACTTTCTAAATTCTGTTTTTATTTTGTTTATTTCTGCTTTTATCTCTATTTTATTCTACTCACTTTGAATATAATTTACTCCTCTTTTTCTAGCTTCTTAATGTAGAGGCTTGGATTATTAACTTTAAATCTTTCTTCTTTTCCAAAAATAATATATAAAGCTATGAATTTTCCTCCAGGCACTACCTTAGCTTCATTCCACACATTTCGATATGTTGTATTTTTTTATCTTTCATTTCAGAATGTTTTCTAATTTCCAGTTATTCAACCCATTGGCTATTGAAAAGTGTCTGGCTTAATTTCCATATATTCGGGGTTTTTTTCCAGATATATTTTTGTTATTGTTGTCTAATGTACTTCTTTCATATCCAGAGGAGATACTCTTTATCGTTTAAAATTTGAGAGTTGGTTTATGGCCCAGCATACATTCTGTCTTGGTGAATGTTTCATGTATTGTTGAAAAGAATGTGTGTTCTGCCATCGTAGGATGTAGAGTTCTGTAAATGTCAATTAGGTCAATTCAGTTGATAAAGGAGACTTGAAGATTGATGTGTTCTAAATCCATACTAGTTTTATCTACTTCTATCAGCTGTATTGTATTATCGTATTGAAACCACTAACTATGTTAGATTTGTCTTTCTCCTCTTATTTCTGTTTTTGCTTCATGTACCTTTAAGCTCTGTCACGAGGCACGTGCACATCCAGGAGTTTGTGTTATCTTGATGAACTGACTCTTTCATCATAATGAAATTTCCATCTTTATCTCTGTCCAAAAGTTTGCTTTCTAAAGTTAAATCTCTTGTGAGTGCTGTTTGCATGGTGTTTCTTTTCCCAATCTTTTACTTTTACCCTATTTGTATCATTATATTTAAAGTGTATTTCTTACAGAAAACATATGATTGGTTATTTTATCTATTTTTTAATATTTAAAGGAGTTTTATTCTTGTTAACATATAATGAATCTTCCTTTTTTTATCCAGCCTGATAAAGTCTCTGACTTTTAATTGAAGTGCTGAGACGATTTTAATATAACGTAATTATTAAATCTATTTTGCTGTTTTTTCTCATCTACTTTTCACTTTTTTCCTCCATTCCTGTTGTTTTTAGTGTTAAATTTTTTTTCTTCTACTAGCTCATAAGCTATTCACCTCTTTTTTCTTTCTTTCTTTTTTTTTTTTGAGACAGAGTCTCGCTCTGTCCCCCAGGCTGGAGTGCAATGGTGCCATCTCAGCTCTGCCTCCTCGGGGTTCAAGCGATTCTCCCGCCTCAGCTTCCTGAGTAGCTGGGATTACAGGCGCCCGCCACCATGCCCGGCTAATTTTTTGTATCTTTAGTAGAGACGGGGTTTCACCGTGTTAGCCAGGATGGTCTCGATCTCCTGACCTCATCATCCGCCCACCTCGGCCTCCTAAAGTGCAGGGATTACAGGTGTGAGCCACTGCGCCAGGCCTCACCTCTCTTTTCTTAGTGGTTGTTCTAGGGTTTACAGTACGCATTTTTAACTTACGGCAGTCTCCTTCCAAATAATTCACCACTTCAGCTGAAACCTAAGAAATTTACAACAGTGTACTTCTGTTGTCTGTGCTGTGTCCTGTTTTGCTGTGTCATTGTGTGTGCTGTGTCCTGTTTTACACATGATGGATGTAACCCTACAATACACTTTGTTTTCTCTTTGTTTTCTTGCTTTATACAGTTATCTTTTTTTTTTTTTTTTTTTTGAGACAGGGTCTCACTCTGTTGCCCAGGCTGGAGTGCAGTGGCATGATCTTGGCTCACTGCAACCTCCACCTCCCAGGTTCAAGTGATTCTCCTGCCTCAGCCTCCCAAGTAGCTGGAATTACAGGCACGCACGACCATGCCCGGCTAATTTTTGAATTTTTAGTAGAGATAGGACTTCACCATGTTGGCCAGGGTGGCCTCAAACTCCTGATCTCAGGTAATCCACCCGCCTCAGCCTCCCAAAGTGCTGGGATTACAGGTGTGAGCCAACACACCCGCCCTATATGGTTATCTTTAAGTAACATTTAAAGTGAAAAAAAAAAAAAAAGCACCTTTTATATTTACTCACATATTTATCTTTCTTCTTGCCTTTGTCTGGATTTGAGCTTTTATTTGGTATGCTTTTCTTTCAGCTTGAAGAACTTCCTTTAACATCTCTTATGGAGTAAGTGTACTTGTCTGTTCTCACGCTGCTAATAAAGACATACCCAAGACTGGATAATTTATAAAGGAAAGAGGTTTAGTTGACTCACAGTTCAGCATGGCTGGGGAGGCCTCAAGAAACTTACAGTCGTGGTGGAAGGGGAAGCAAACATGTCCTTCTTCACATGGCAGCAGCAAGGAGAACAGAGCGAAGTTGGGTGAAAGCCAACTTATAAAACCATCAGATCGCGTGGGAACTGTCACAAGAACAGTATGGGGGAAACTGCTTGCATGATTCAGTTATCTCTACCTGGCCCCTCCCACGACATGTGGGGATTATGGGAACTACAATTCAGAATGAGATTTGGGTGGGGACACAGCCAAACCATATGAGTAGGTCAAGTGACAACAAATTCTCACAGGTTTTACTTGTCTGAAAATATCTTTTTCCCCTTCATTTTGGAAGGGGCTTCTAACAGGCTATATAGTTCTAGGCTTTTTTCTTTCAGCAGAGTGAAGATGCTGTTCCTTTGTCTTTTGGCTTACATGCCCTACTGCCCTGGCCCATTCCTTCTCAATCCCAGAGCCAAAGCTGCCCACCAGATGACTGTGGGCCGGCACCTTTGCCTCACAGAACCTTAGCACCCTTGATGTTAAAGGGGGCCAGAAGGAGAGCCCACAGCACAGGCGTGTGGTTGCCCCAGGGGGACTGTCTTGCCAAATGCTTAATGAACGGTAAAGTGATTCTGTGCTGTCAGCAAGAATGGTAGCTGTTGCTGGTGCTGCACAGGTCTCTGTCTTCAAGACCTGCTCTAAGAAAAGGGGCCTTTTATTCCAAGGCCCCAAGGCCCTCTGGTCCTAAGCAGCCTTTGATATTCCTCAGCACAGCCCTTCAAAGCCTCATGGCCCCCACTACATGCTAATCAGAGCCTGTCTCTTCTAGCGCTAGTAGGCCTGGGGCAAGGACACCAGAAAGTTCGCAGCCACAGGGTGACCTATTTAAGAGGAGCCCCATCCAGGCCATTATTGAGTTAATCTGAAATAGGTCTTAGGTGGAAACTTGGCCCAAAGTTGTTGGACCTCTGCAGACTGGTTGTAATTCAAGCCTGCCTGACTGGGAGAGTTCAGATTTTGCCAGATCATTTTCAGCCATCGTCACAGACTGCATGGCATGTGCATTGTTGGGTATGTCCAGGTTTCTTCCTCATCCCTGCAGGCTATGTGAGGGGCCCCTGGGGAGTTGAGAGGAAGGTCCCAGCTAGGCTCTGGGGACCTGGCATTGGTTGGGCTTTGAGGAGCCTCCTGTGGGCTCAGGGATCAGCTGTTGAGTAGTGGGGTCCTGAGGACTGGGGTAGAAAAACCTGCTGGCATGGCCTGAGGTGGGCAGGTGGCCCCCACTCTAGCCCTGCTCTGAGATAAGGATCTTCTTTTCCTTCTTTGCCTCCTACCCCTATACCCCTTCACCCCTCCATCTCTCCATTTCTGCCCCTTTTCCCTCCCTTGGCTTCACTGTGGTCTTTACCTCTACCATGCCTCCACACCAGAAGGTTCCTGAGTCAGAATGTTCTGCCCGAGCACCAGCTCTTAGTCACTGAGACTTGGCAGTTGGAAACAGAGCCCTTCTTTTTTTTTTTTTTTTTTTTTTTTTTTTTTGGAGACAGGGTCTTGCTCTGTAGCCCAGGTTGGAGTGCAGTGGCATGATGTCAGCTCACTGAAACCTCTACCTCCCAGATTCAAGCAATTCTCCTGCCTCAGCCTCCTGAGTAGCTGGGACTACAGGCATGCGCCACCATGCCTGACTAATTTTTGTATTTTTAGTAGAGACGGGATTTTGCCACGTTGGTCAGGCTGGTCTCGAACTCCTGACCTCAAGTGATCCGCCTGCCGTGGCCTCCCAAAGTGCTGAGATTACAGGCATGAGCCACCATGCCCAGCCAAGAGCCCTTCATTTTTGAGGAACAATTATTCACCTTTAGGTTTTTGAAAAATACCATCACATCTTGGAATTTCTCATTTTCATTTCTTTTAGAAAAAAAAAAAAAATTATGAATTTATAGTAAGAAATGTAACTGCCAAGAACCCAGAGAATGAAGCCTACTGGCCCCTTAGGAAGCAGCTGTCCTCCCCAGGTGGCTGAGCGGAGGTGGCCCAAGCAAGGGGCTGTCAGGCTGGGGGTGACATTCTGCATTTTCTCCCTCTCGAGGAAAGGGACTGGCTTAAGTCCCACCTCATTTGTCTTTGGCCACTCTCCTCTTAAGCAACTTCCTTCCTGAATGTGGACCTTTCTGGAGCCTCATTATTTTGAGATTGATTTTTCTCCTTTGCAAAAACTGCTTGGAGAGCTTTTCACCAAGGCATGCCTTGGAAGCTACCAGCCGACGGTAGTGACTGCAGCAGCCCCCCTGGCAGGGACCCTCTAAGCGATGGGGGTGACTGCCCCCACTCAGTCCAGCAGGCATGTGGGTGCAGGAGGTGGGATGAGGGAGGCAATGATGGGCCTGGAGGGCTAGTGCTTGTGTTAGCAGCTGGGGCCTTGTTTACAGAGAAATGTGGGCTTGTTCCCTGGGAGCTCCTCCTTTTACAGGAGCAAACACCGAGGCCCAGGGGAGGGCACCTGTGTGAAGTTACACAGCCGACTGGTGGACAGATGGACGCTTTAAGCTGAGAACCCCATTCTCTGCAGCGCATTTGGGTGGGCCGGAAATAGTCGCGACCGATATGGGACAGGTTGGCCGAGGTTATCTTGGGGAGAATCACTGGAGATTGTTTCTTTGCTACTTTGTGCTTTGCTTTTCTCTACAGAGCATTTTTATTTTTCTACCTCGAACATGGGTCCATTTTATAGCCAAGTAATAATGGCCAATGCTTGTAGCCTCCTCATTGCGGGCCAGCCACTGTGTTAAGCACTTTACAGGCATTAACCCATTTTGTAGATGAAGACTGAAGGTTAAGATGTTACGTAATGACTGTGCATGGGGTGGGAGATAAGGTGGGACTCCCAGGTCTGCTTGAGTCATGAAAGGGAAAGGCATCTCTTACTCGGAGTAAACTAAGGAGGCCCCCTCATCCCCTATTCATTTAAGACACATGAATCTGCCTGTGTGGAGTAAGAGGTTTCCCCTCAGCAGGCACTGTGGGTCTCTTCCGTGCTCTCTGCAGAACTCGGCCAACCCAGCCTGTCAGTAAATGTCGCTGAAGGGCCTCCTGGAACACCTGCCCACTACACTGCAGACAGAAGAGGCGGGAGGGTGTCCGGAGAAAGTATGCCGGGGGAAAGAGAGGATCTTTGCAGGCACTGCGCAGCTAGGCCTCGCCAAGGGGGACCAATCATGGGGAGAATCACAAGATAATCAGGTTGTGATTCACTTTGTTTTTTTTTTGTTTGTTTGTTTGTTTGTTTGTTTTTTGAGACGGAGTCTCGCTCTGTCGCCCAGGCCGGACTGCGGACTGCAGTGGCGCAATCTCGGCTCACTGCAAGCTCCGCTTCCCGGGTTCACGCCATTCTCCTGCCTCAGCCTCCCCAGTAGCTGGGACTACAGGCGCCCGCCACCGCGCCCGGCTAATTTTTTGTATTTTTAGTAGAGACGGGGTTTCACCTTGTTAGCCAGGATGGTCTCGATCTCCTGACCTCATGATCCACCCACCTCGGCCTCCCAAAGTGCTGGGATTACAGGTGTGAGCCACCGCGCCCGGCCTCACTTTGTTTTTTATTCCTTTATTAGCTCAAGAGGCAGGGGCAGCAGAAAGAAAAACTCAAAACCTGGACTCTTCCTAACCCCACAGCACCCTAATCCTCTTCATGGCAAATACCTACACACTACCTTACAGTTTATAAAACCCTTTCCTGGCCAGGGACGGTGGCTCACACCTGTAATCCCAGTACTTTGGGAGGCTGAGGCGGGCAAATCACCTGAGGTCAGGAGTTCAAGACCAGCCTGGCCAGCATGGTAAAACCCCGTCTCTACTAAAAATACAAAAATTAGCCAGGTGTGGTGGTGGATGCTTGTAATCCCAGCTACTCAGGAGGCTGAGGCAGGAGAACTGCTTGAACCCGGGAGATGGAGGTTGCAGTGAGCCAATGTCGTACCACTGCACTCCAGGCTGGGTGACAAGAGCGAGACTCTGTCTCAATAATAATAATAATAATAATAATAATAATAATAAAAGCATTCCCATTCTGATATTTCTCGTGCCATCCATTCATTCAATAGGTTCCTATTTAGTACCTCCCACGCACCCAGCTCCAGGCTGTGAGCGTCAACCAGGCAGATGCAGCCCCTACCCCTTCAGGGCCCCATGGTTCCTAGTGGCGGAACCCTTTCCCCGCCAGGGCCCTCTGTCTCAGCTTGCGCTCCAGCATTGATACCTAGAGGCAGCCGCGTGTGGAAAATGGTTTAGTATGATTACCGGGGCATCAGATGATTTCCAAGGAGAAGCCGCGCTGGCTGTCTCCAGGCCAGGAAAGTGTCATCCCATCCCAGTAGTTTCCAGTGACCTGCTCAACAGTCCTGGCACCGTCCGAGATCAGTGGCTTCTCCAGTGTGGGTCACCAAATACTCACCTTAGAACAAAGTCCCTCTTGCTCTGGCCTTGAGACAGGTGTTTGCATTGTGTCAAAGGAAATGCTCACATAGGTGGGTCTCTTCCTTGTCCACTAAAGGATCCCCCTCACTGGTCAGGGATTGCTGACCCCACAACCATCAGCAGGGTGACCAGGTCTGCTGGTGCCTGGTGACTGGCTGGGAGAAGCTAGGCACCAGGCCGTGTGGCGAGCCCGTTGGTAGGGCCAGTGGTTTCAGGGGAGCTGTGCTAGGAGTTGGGCCAAGGGCAGCACCCTTCCACATGCCAACGAGGGCTGAAAAAAGGGCCTTCCTCCACAGCCCAAAGAGCTGGTGCCATGGGAGGACATGGCCTATAACCAGGTGTAATATGGGGCAGCCGCTAACAAGGAACCAAATCGTAGAGACTGGGAAAAGCATGATGGGCCGGATGAAAAAGCAAAACACCAAACTGAATTTGTGTTATGTGGACAAAGGCTAGACTTCAATGTGGAACAAAGGAAAGTTTAATTTCCCGAGATGTCAGGACCCTGGGAGAGCTTTTTTCCTCTCCTTTGGTTACCCAGGAGGCAGCACGGAGCACTGGAGAGGGAGCCCTGGAGCCAGGATGCCTGGCCGCCGCCCCCGGCCCCTCTCTGCAGAGCTAGGAGGCAGCACCCAGGCCATGAGGGACAAATGTGGAGCAAGGGATGGAGCTGGAACTTGCTATTATGGGACGTTAAAGCTGGCAGGACCTGAGGTAGCATCTAACCCAGTGGTTCTTACCTTGGCTACAGCACTAAAGGCTCCTAGAGAATCTGTTTCACCATATTGATGCTTGAATCTTAAATTCAGCTGATTAGTTAAAAAAATAAAAAAAAATACCAATATCCTTCCTACCCCCAAGTTACCAGTCAGTCCCATCGCCCAGGATGCTTGAGCCTTCAGGCAGGAGTTTCTGATTGTATCTCGGAGCAGGCAGTGGGCAGGCAGATGGGTGGGTTGGGGTTTAGAGTGAGCCCTAGACAAGAGGAGGCTCTTGTCTAGAAACCAGCCAACTTGGGAGGCTAGGGCCTTGACAAGAAGCAGGTGGGTCCCTGGTCTTAACCACAGGGGATCAGAGGAGGAAGAGGGAGCCTGAGTGCTTCAGCTGAGCCCCTTCCATGCTGTCAAACAGGGCTCAGGGGAGAAGCTGAGCATCTTGCCAGGCTCACTTCGCGCCAGAGGAGGGGGCTGCAGCCCCATGGGCAGATTCCTGGGCCCAGCTGGCATGGGGTCTGTCCTTCATGCATCTGCCAGGCTGGGCTCAAGAACAGCCCTGTGGAAGTCCTGGCCTGGGCAGCCACCCCTCTACCTTGGGGTGAAACTCAAACCTACACAGGGTGAGTGAGTGAGCCCACCACAGAGCTGGATCTAGGGCAGGCACCCTCATTCCTTCGAGGCAACCCTGTGGGAACCCTGGTAGGGTGGAGGCTGTGGGTAGGCTGGGTGTTCTGCCGGCTGGAGGAAGCTGTGGGCAGCAGGCCATCTTTAGCATCATGGCGGTTGCCAGAATTGGAGCAGGCACCACTATTTTGTGCTCCATTTCTGTGCCTGTGTGACTTTCCTGAAGTGGGCCTGGCTGCCCGGTGCTGTCCATCATCCCCAGGACAGCCGAGCGAAGTATGCAGCTCTAGGTCACAGCCCTCTTCTGAGTGAGGAGGCGCCCTAGCTTGTCTCATGTGCCTCTATTGTTCACCCCTCGTTTTGGTTCATGACTTTGACCATGTGCCCTGGTTCCCCCAGTGAAAGGGAAGGAGGGGAGTTTCTTTGTCCTCTGGGATTTGTGCTTGTCGATCTCTCTAGCCGGCCCGGGGGTATTGGGAAGTGATTTCCCCTGAGAAGTCATAAGACTCAGCCCCACAGAGACCAGCCTACAGATTGATGTTTATTGATGGAGTTTCTGCCACAGCAGCTCCAGTGAAATGGAAGCAAAGCCTGATATTTATATGGCGGGCCTGGGTGCCCCATCCCACAGGCCCCACCCTGGCCTTGGTAATAGGTGTCCCTGGTAGGGCGGAAGCCCTGCACCCCTCGCCTGGAGAAGTTGTCAGAGAGCCCAGATGTGGTCTCCTCAGCTTCCTGCAATGCCCCAGGCACACTTAGCACTCGCTGCAGCAGGAGATGAGGAGAGAGGGGCCTACGGAGAGGCCCCGAGAACTGAGATGACACTGGCGCTCTGGCTTGGGTTTTCCATCTGCCTGCCAGAGTTTCGTGATTTATTATTTATTATTATCTGATTTTCCATCAGATTAGATCCTGACGTGCCTTCCAGCGTCCTCAGGTTGAACGTCTCGGAGTCTTCAGCCGCCTGCCTCTTGTAGAGGAGTGGCGTCACTTGTCTGGTTACCCAGGGGTCTTTATTTTTAATGATCCCTTTTGTGGCAGAACCCCCACAGGGCCCACTTTGGGTAAGGCAGATCTGTTATCTTTCTGGGTTCCCCAATCAGGAAGGACTGGCTGTGCCTCAGGGGCGCTGCTCCTGCTCCCAGGGGCCCTCGCCGCTTCTATCTCCCACTTGCAGCTTCAGGGGGGCTCAGGGTCCGAGCGCTGGCCCGTTCCACCTCTGTCCTGGGGCTCCTGCCCCTTCCTCTCCCTGGAGCGGCATCTTCCTCCCGTGCCACCTGCCACTAAGTCACCATCCTGCACCAGCTGTAAAGCTGCCACCTCATCCCAAAAGCCTTCTCAGAGCCCTACCTGCAGCCTAAAGTCATCTCCCAACTCTCACCCAGTGGCTCCTGTGTGACCCCTCCTGTGTCTGGTCAGAGGCTCCCTGTTCTTTTGGAAGCTCGCCGAAGACCTCGCAGACTCTCCTTCTCCATTGCCTGAGTGGGCAGAGCGTTGGCAGCCCTAGCCTGGAGGGGCTGGGTCCTCCTCTAGTGCCACTCCAAGGCAGGGCTTCCGCTCCCCGCCTGCCCCCTCTAGGCCAGGTTGGAGGGCAGCAGCAGGGCAGGCTGGGCAGGGGGCCCACCTGGTCCCACAGCCCCTGGCCTAGCAGGCTGCTGTGGTCTCTTGGCCTCCAGGGCCATGGGGGTGGCAGGTGCCACTAGGCTGTCGGTAAAGATCAGCAGGCCAGGCACAGTGGCTCAAGCCTGTAATCCTAGCACTTTGGGAGGGTGAGGCAGGCAGATCGCCTGAGGTCAGGAGTTCAAGACCAGCCTGGCCAATATGGTTAAACCCTGTCTCTACTAAAAATTCAAAAATTAGCTGGGCCTGGTGGCACATGCCTGTAATCTCAGCTACTGGGGAGGCTGAGGCAGGAGACTCACTTGAACCTGGGAGGTGGAGGTTGCAGTGAGCCGAGATCGTGCCACTGTACTCCAACCTGGGTGAGAGAGTGAGATTCCATCTCAAAGAAAAAAAAGGCTAGGCGCGGTGGCTTGTGCCTGTAATCCCAGCACTTTGGGAGGCTAAGGTGGGTGGATCACAAGGTCAGGCGTTCCTGACCAGCCTGGCCAACATAGTGAAACCCCGTCTCTACTAAAAATACAAAAAGTTAGCCAGGTGTGGTGGCGGGCGCCTGTAATCCCAGCTACTCGGGAGGCTGAGGCAGGAGAATTGCTTGAACCTGGTAGGCGGAGGTTGCAATGAGCCGAGATTTTGCCACTGCACTCCAGCCCGGGTGACTCTGTCTCAAAAAAAAAAAAAAGAAAAAAAGAAAAAATAATCAACAGACTTGGGGTCTTGGGCAGGCTCCTAACTCTTCATGCCACACCCTTTCCTCTTCTGGGGGTGACACTTGCAGAATACCATGTAACATGTGGAAACCACCCAACAGCTGGAAGTGCAGAGGAGGCAGTCACCCAGCAACTGGGCTGTTCGTTCTCAAACACGGTGACGTTGCTTGATATCCCCCAGACTCCCACCCCAAGCCTTTCTCTCTGTTATCAGCATCTGGCCGATTGGATTTTGTGATCAGGCTCAGGCAGCTTAACAGCCCTCCCAAATCTAAATCAAAGTCACCAAAGCTGCTGTAATTGAATGTTGGAGGCGCCAACCACACGGGCTGGGAATGGCTGTTTTCTGGCGAGGGTGCAGTTTTCTGGCGAGGGTGCAGCGCCCCCGCAGTCCTCACTGGAAACCAATGACACCACTGCGCTGTTTCTCCTCAGAGCCCCCACGTGGGGGTGGAATGTCTTTTTGCATAGCCAGACTGTGACAAAATAGGATGCATGCCCTGCTTAAAGTCGGTAGTGCTCAAGATGCAATGAATGCCCTGCTCTGGGGGTCTGGAGCCTTGTGATGGGAGTCCCAGAGAGCAGTGACCGCTTGAGGACAAGGTCATGGGCTGGAAAGTTGCCAGGGCTCGGGGACTAGGCCTTGCCCATTCCCAGTCCTGCATACTTGAACTTCGCTCTGCAGAGAGGGGAGGGACAGCAGTGCCTGTCTCCATTAATCACACTGTGGGCCCGAGGGAGGTCCACTGGTCAGAGCGAATCCTGCTGGTGACTGACAGTTGGATATCAGCCTCCGACACAGCAGCCCCTATACTGCACTGATGCAGGCATGCCTGCTGTGGGGAGTGGGGAGCAGCGCGAGGCTTCTCTTTCTTTGCTCCCCTCAGGGCCCTGCCTGGTCTGTGGACATGCAGGAAATAAGCAAGTTCTGAGCCATGTTCTCAAAGAAGCCATCATGTTTTTTTTTTGTTGTTTTTTTTTTTTGAAACGGAGTCTGACTCTGTCGCCCAGGCTGGAGTGCAGTGGCACAATCTCAGCTTGCTACAACCTCCGCCTCCCAGGTTCAAGCAATTCTCCTGCCTCAGCCTCTCGAGTAGCTGGGATTACAGGTGCCCACCACCATGCCCAGCTAATTTTTTGTATTTTTAGTAGAAATGGGGTTTCACCATATTGGCCAGGCTGGTCTCAAACTCCTGACCTCAGGTGATCCGCCCACCGCAGCCTCCCAAAGTGCTGGGATTACATCACATTCTTTTAAATATTTGGATACCTCAAATGTGACTCCAGTTAGCCAGAGGCTGGTGAACGGGCCCAGTGCTGGGGAGCCCAAAGGAGGGAGCCTGAGGGCCCCAGGCACTGTACCATTGAAGTGACCCACAATGGGGCTCTGGCAGAGGAGGAAAGAAAGAAATCCCGCAATGCGTGTGTGCGGCGTGGCTCAGGAGTGGGAAAGTGCCCAAGGCAGCACGAAGGGTGCAGGGTCTCTGCATGCAGCACTGGGATGGGCTGAAGAACCAGGAAGGAGAAAGGATATGGGGCGTTGGTGGGTGCTGCTCCAGCCTTGCTGGGTATGGGCTGTCTGAATGTCCTTCCCCGCCCAGGACCCCGTGAGTGCGCAGCTCCCAGCATCCTCCCCCAGGCCCCTGCTCTTGCCACTCCCCAGCCCCAGGCCCCACCGGCCTGTCCCCTGCCAGGCCCATCTTAGCAGTACGTCCCCCAAAACTCATCCAGCCCAGCACTGGGTGTGGGTGCAGTGAGCGGGGTGAGTGCCATCCTTCCACCCTGCTTCAGGGCTGCTCTCCTCTCCAGTGACACCCATGAGGGGACGGGTCCCTGCTGGACATCTATGCCTTAACCCTGGAGGAGCTCACGGGCAGTGAGGGCAAAGTTAGTTTCCCCGAAACAAGCAAGCAAGTGGGGTGGCCGCAGGGCCTCTGCCCCCTAAGCACCACCGGGTCACCTTCCCCCAGTCCATAACCAGCCTATGCAGCCTTTCAGTTTCTTGGTTTCAAAAAGCTGCCCCCAACAGGGCTTCCCCAATGAGAAACTTGATCTGTTTTCCTCCAAAGATGAGAAAAAAGCTCCACTTCTAAAAATAGCCCACCTGGCTCCCCTGCGCTAGATGATTCCATGGCAATCCACTCCTTCCTAGGAGCCTCCTGATGTTAGAGGGGTCCCAGCCCTGAGGGGGTGCCCTGTGGCCTCCTCAGCCAGAGCCACCTATTACAGGGGTCAAGGAGATCCCTGAGTGGGGAATGGGGTGTGGGGGCACAGTAAACAAACAGGGCCTCCCCTGGTTCCGAGCCTCTATGATTTGAAGTAAACTCAAGACAGTTATGGCCGGGCATGGTGGCTCACGCCTATAATCCCAGCACTTTGGGAGGCCAAGGTGGGTGGATCACTTGAGGTCAGGAGTTTGAGACCAGCCTGGCCAACATAGTGAAACCCCATCCCATCTCTACGCTGAAGATACAAAAATTAGCCAGGTGTTGTGACGCATGCCTGTAATCCCAGCTACTCGGGAGGCTGAGGCAGGAGAATTGCATGAACCCAGGAGGTGGAGGTTGCAGTGAACTGAGATCATGCCATTGCACTCCAGCCTGGGTGACAAAGCAAGACTCCATCTCAAAAAAAAAAAAAAAAAAAAAAAAAGACAGTTTTGTGCAAAAGTGAGTTGCGTCAGTGGAAGGTGACCGGGCCAGGGGCCTAAGGCCCTGGTACATGTTAAGTCCCAGCTCTGCACTGGCCACACACCGGGTGGTTACCATCCTTCCCAGAGCAGCCACTAATATCCCCGGTGTAAGGACCAGCACACTTACCCAAGGCCATGTGGAGTGAGGAGCAGGACTGCCTGGCCCAGAACTGCCGCCTCCCCACCCCAGGCTGCCACCTCCATGCAGACAGCCTGGTCAGGAAGGCAAATGTGCCAGTCTTTGCAGGAAGGACAGAGGGACTTGTGAGGCCTCGGGAGTCTCAGTGACCCACTCGAGAGCATCCAGGGACGAGTCCCGGGCAGTAAATCAGACCGTAATGATCAGTGCGAGTGAGAATGTGGCACAGTGTGCAGCCCAGCCACAGCAAGTCAGTGTGACAGACAAGAAATGGCTCCCAAAGATGTCCATGTCCTAATCCCCAGAGCCTTAGATGGCTTGCCTTAGATGGCGAAAGGGATGTTGCAGATACAATGAAGAATTTTGAGATGCGGATTCTCCTGGATTACCCAGGTGGGCCCAGCACAATCACTGGATCAGAGAGAGTAGAAGATGCCTCTTTGCTGGCTTTGAAGATGGAGGAAGGGGCTATGAGTGAAGGAGTAAGGGCAGCCTGCAGAAGCTAGAAAAGGCAAAGCAACGCCTTCTCCCCTGGAGCCTCCAGAGTGAACGCAGCCCTGCTAACACCTGGATTTCAGGACTCCTGACTTCCAGAGCTGTAAGATAATAAATGTGTGTTCTGGGCCAGGCGCGGTGGCTCAGGCCTGTGATCCCAGCACTTCGGGAGGCCAAGGCAGGCGGATCACAGGTCAGGAGTTCAAGACCAGCCTGGCCAACATAGTGAAACTCCCTCTCTACTAAAAATACAAAAATTAGCCAGGCATGGTGGCGCACGCCTGTAATGCCAGCTACTCAGGAGGCTGAAGTGGGAGAATCGCGTGAACCTGGGAGGTGGAGGTTGCAGTGAACCGAGATTGCGCCACTGCACTCCAGCCTGGGCGACAGCGCGAGACTCTGTCTCAAAAAACAGGAAAAAAAAAAAATGTGTGTTGTTTCAAGCCATTGTCTTAATTTCCTGGGGCTGCCATAATAAATTACCACAAACAAGTGGCTTAAAATGACAGGAAATCATTCTCTCTCGGTTCTGAACTGAGACTTCTGGACTCAGTGTGGCCAGAGTTTACTCATGTGGAGGCCAAGCCCCCTTCATTGTTCAGCTGTGCCTCTGCCTGGGCTTGGGGTGAGGCCCACCCCCTTGTGCTCAGTGTGTGTCACAGCATCCTTGTCTTGCTGTGAGAACATGGGAGGTGGGTGATGCCACCTTCCCTTGAGGGGTGGTGTGTGTGTGGGTATGCATGGGAGCCTGCCTATGACGGGTAGTTCACGGCCTTGGAGCTGGGTGGGAGCCACCATCAGTGTGCCTGGGCTGGGTGCAGGGGTCCTTCCTGCCCAAGCCCACCCCTTCCTGGCCTCTCTGTCCCTCTATCCGCCTGTGATTCCACCTGCCACCAGTCTTGTCTTTCCCATGGACTGCTGTCAACTGCCACATGCTCCCTTTTGCCAGAGGACAAAGAGCCAGTCTCCTTGGTCTGTGCCAGAGGCCCCTTACCTTCTCCCCTTTCCAACCTACTCCTCTGTGTCTCACCCCTACCTACCCCCAACTTTCTTCAAACCCTGCCTTCTCATGTGTGATCGCCAACCCCGGGAGGAACCCATGGGCCTAGGTGGGCCCCGAAGCACTTATTCATTCACTCACTCATTCACTCATTCCCTCTCTCTCTTGTCCTACCCTCCCTCATTCTCCTGATCTCTCTGTCCCTTTGAGGGGACCTCTCCCTGCCTGTCTCTGCAGAACAGACTGTGCTCATGGGTAATCATTGGCCCAAGTGCCTTCTCATCCTGCCCCAACAACACGGCCAGTGACTTGAGGCCAGAACAAGCATGTCCCTGTGTCCCTGGGGACCTGAATTTGGACCTTAAGGGCTGCTTACTAAGGTGTACTCTTGAATAACAAGTTATACAGAAATGTGGCTACCTGCTTCCACCTGCCACACAGAAGGATGCTAACATGCTTACAGTTAGACTCACTGTACCTCTCACCAGCTCTTGCTTACAGAGCAGGGGTCACATTTGGGCTGACCCGCATCTGCATTGGGCATACCCCCTCAAGGCCCTCCCCGTGTTGAGCCGGGGGCCATTCTGATGGACAGGGGGCTGGCCGTTCTGGTTATTAGATGTACTGAACCTGGAAGATGACGTGTGCCTCAGGGACAGGTGGTAAGAGCACAGGCTCTAAAGCCAGAGACCTGGCTACTCAGGAATTTCCTCACCTCATGGCCCTGGGCAATTTCAATGTACCTTTCCGTCCCCAGATCTACCTCACGGGGTCTTCGCAGGCATTAACTGAGGCAGCGCCTCACCCACAGCCTGGCACCCGGAAAGGTGTGGTACACATCAGCCGTTAGAGCCTTTCTAAGGCTGATCCAGAGAAAGGGAGGCTTGTGAGCAGACAGAGCTGGACTCAGATCCCAACCCTGCCCCTCAATAGCTGGGCACTAAGCTGGTGGCTTGGCCTCTCAGAACCTGCATTTTCTTGCCTGCAGGGAGGGAAGAATAGCCACTGTCTACTGACCTCTACCGTGAGGCCCAGAGCAACAGCTTACGGAGCCAGTGGCCCAGACCCTGGCCCAGCCCGTGTGGCCTCCAGACGTCTGGGGGCCGCAGTTGGGCTTCTGAGTGCAGACACGCTGTGGCCTCTCAATGGCCTTGCCAGGGTAGGGACTGTCCCATCCCCAGGCAATAGATGAGGAAATTGAGGCTCTGAGAGGTGAAGCCATGCTCAGGCCGCCTGGCTGGCCACTGTCTTCCTTCTGGGCTGCTGGGGCCTCCATGAGAGGGGCAGGCGGTCATTTGAATAACAAGTTATTGTCATTTGGGGGCTGCAGTTGTGATGGGAGGCTCCCTGCCTCCTGGCTGGATGCTGACCCAAGCCCCTGTGGCCAGAGGGGGACAGGGTATGCCGTGGGCACCCTCCTCAGCTCCCCTTGGCTTGGGCCCCATGCAGCTGGCTGGCCTGACCCTGCCATGGACACCACGTGCACTCGGAACAGTGACTCAGCCATGTCCACCCCCGTGTACCTTGCCTGCCGTGGGAAGAAACGTTCTCTCACAGTATGCATTATTTTTCAAAAAAAGTCTTATATCTTGGGTTACAGATTTTCTTCATCTAAAAATAGTTTTTAGCTGATTATTTCTAAACAAGGCATTTCAGAAACCCCTTGGCAGTTACAGGCTCTGGGACTCACTGGGTGGTGTCAGCCTCTTGGTGTCCTGTGCCATTGTTAAACAGCAGCCTGGCCCTAGGCCAGCTGCCTCCTGCCCCACCTGCTGTGGTGCGCCACCCCCCAGAGACGCCCACAGCCCCATAACCCCAGATGCAGGCTGGGCTGGCAGGAAAGGGGCCCTGGGCAGCTGCGTGAGAGAGAGGTAAGAGGGGGCGTGGGAGCTGGCAGAGGGCACAGCCTGCCTCTCTCATGGAGGCCTCAGCAGCCCGGAAGGAAGAGGGTGGCCAGCCAGGCAGTGTGGGTATGACTTCACCTCTCAGAGCCTCGATTTCCTCATCTGTCACCTGGGGATGGTCCAGTCCCTACCCTGCAAGGCCATTGAGGGGCCACAGCGTGTCTGCACACAGAAGGCATTCTATCAGTGAGAATGGCTGTGTTCCTGCAGGGAGATCGGTGAAGGGGAGCCTCAACTGTGACATTGGGCCTTTTGGCAGACTTTGTTTTTGTTTGTTTGTTGTTGTGTTTTGGGTGTTTTTGTTTTGTTTTGTTTTTTGAAACAAGGTCTCATTCTGTTACACATGCTGGAGTGCAGTGGCACGATCATGGCTCACTACAGCCTTCACCTCCCTGGGCTCAGGTGATCCTCCCACCTCAGCCTCCTGGGTAGCTGGGACCATCAGCATATGCCACTATGCCCGGCTAATTTTTCTATTTTTTGTAGAAGACAGACTTTTGTCATGTTGCCCAGGCTCTTTTGGCAGAGTTTGGACAGAAGGTGGCATTGGGCTGGCCCTCAAAGGGGTGGGTGGGGCAGGACCTCTGGTGGGGGCAGATATGAGAAGGTTCCATGCAGTGGGGACATGGCGGGAAAGGCCCCAAACAGGAGCGCTCAGGCCTTTGCAGGGAACAGGGGACAGATTGGTGTGGCTGGGGGATGGGCATGAGCAGAGAGCAAAGTGAGGTTGACTGGACGGGGGTGATTGGCTTGGGGTAGGCCTGCGATGCTGAGAAAGGAGCCCAGGCTCCATTCTGGGGGCCTCTGTGCCCAGAGAGCAGTCTCCACCTCTCCACCCAGCAGAGCCCATCCTTCCCTGCACACCACAATGTAGGGAGCTGGCGCCCTGCATGCAGGTGGGTGCCTGTAGGCCTGCCGCCTCCAAAGCCCAGTCCCGGCCCTGCCATTCAATCTGGGCTCTCTTTACAGTCCTTCCCACTGACTCAGGTGGGCCCTTGCCCACCCCACCCTGGGAAGGCTGGGCCAGGATGGGGCAGGCACCTCACCCCGGCCAGGAACAGGAACGGGCACCATCTCGGGGACTGATGTTTTTTGAATGGCGCTATCCACCCTGCCCTGCTCGGCCTGGCTGTGCAGGCCTCTTGGTACCACGTCTGTTCGTAATGACCGTAACAACTCTATTTTCTTCCACAGATGACTCTGGGGACGACGACGAGGCTACCACCCCAGCCGACAAGAGCGAGCTGCACCACACCCTGAAGAATCTTTCCCTGAAGTTAGATGACCTCAGCACGTGCAATGACCTCATCGCCAAGCACGGCGCTGCACTCCAGCGCTCCCTGACAGAGCTGGACGGCCTCAAGATCCCATCTGAGAGTGGGGAGAAGCTGAAGGTGGTGAATGAGCGGGCCACCCTCTTCCGCATCACATCCAATGCTATGATCAACGTGAGTACCCACCCCCACCGCCCTGGCACGGGGCTCCCTGGCTCCAGCCCCGGGGTCCCTCGGTGGGTGACCAGGGTCAGCTTGAAGGGTCAGCGTTCCATTTCCTGCGGTTCCACGGTGTTTCCCAAAGCCAGCGCCCCCCAGCTAGCTTCCGAGTTCTTAAATCATCTCCTTCACTCGGCCGTCGTTGGGCAAGGACATTCTTCCTAATTGTCTGGAGGAAACGAGTTGGTTGTGGACTCTGGTGCAGTCTGCAGTTATTTACTTCATGCCTCGATAAGGAAGGTCGGGGCCCCAAGTTAAGTAGCTAGCCCAGCAGGTCAGTTCTGCCCACACAGTAGGGACACAGCTGCCACACTGGCCCTCGGTGGCTGCTACTCCTCCTCCCTGGGTTCACTCCCCAGATGCAGTGGGAGCAGACGCTGTGCACAACAAGGGGAGGGTGTGGTGGGGGGCTGCAGTCGAGGGCTCCCTGAGCTAGAAGGGCCTCAGAGCTGAGCCTGCCGAGGTCGTGCCAACCTGATGGTAGACAAAGCAGGTAACCGCAGTTGTAAACTAAGCAGCCCCGCCACAGGAGTCAGCCGCTCACCCTGGCTCTGGAAGCCACACGGCTAGGACTGGGAGCCAGGAGGGTGTCTCGATGGTGGTAGGAGGATAGTGCTTGGCCCTGCTTCCCTCTTTCTGTCTGGGGAGTGTTCCCCAGAAGTGTGCGTGCTCCTCCAGGCCTCCACCCTCCAGACACAGGTCTGACTGCAACAGCCTCCTCCCAGGACAGTCCCCCAGGGCGGCACATCTGGGCCAGGGGTGCAGTTGTAGGAGCTTGGGGTGGCCTGCTGGGAGTAAGGAGACCAGAGCAGAGGAGCTGTACAGAAATGGAGGCCGCAGAGGAAGAAGTGAGGTCCAGAGAAGGGGGTTCAGGAGAGTCATCGTGCTGGCTGGGGACAGTGGGCAGTGCTGGTGCCTGGGTGACCTCCAGCTGGGGGACCCAGCCCCCAAACTAGGAGGTTAGACCAGGGCCGGACTGGGAGCTGGGACCAAGCTCCAGGCCCCGCAAGAAATGCAAGGGCAGGGTGGGAAGATAGAGGCTGGAGCTCACCGCAGGCCAAGAGCCCAGGCTAAAACCTGGGCATCCAAGACCTGCCCCAAGCCGGCTTCACTGGCCTGTTGGCAGCATGATTGTGGGGCAGGAGGGCCACCCCACCACCCACACCTGCCCAGATATGCTCAGGCTCAGGCCTGGAGCACCCAAATGCAGCCTTGGGAATCCCACCCTGGGGCCTGAGGCTGGGCGAGGTGTGCCCCCCTTCCCGACTGCTGGGAAACTCAGCCTGCAGGTGCCCACCCGCCTCAGCTCAGCAGGTGTGTGCACCTTGTCCATCCCAGATCCCACAGTGCTGGGGGGTGGGGGGCAGTTGGCCCCATATGCCAAGGATGCTGAGAGGCTGCTGGGCCACCCTGCGTGTTGGCCCCATTGTCACCTGCACTGTTTTCCTACATCCACCCTCTCAGGCCCACTGTCCTCCTTACAGCCCACAGACCAGATTGCTGTACTTCTACCAGGGACACACACAAATGTGAAGCACTGAATGACATAATAATGCGTTTGTATTTCCCTGTCCCTCCCAGAAGCCACTGCCGGAGGCTTCCCAGGCACTGCCTCCCTACCCGAGACCAAAACTGCTTTGTCTTGAATAAGCAGTTTTGGCTTTTCCGAGATAATGAGCGTCTCAGCTGGCTGCCGTCTTGCACAGTCTTTTATCAGACATCAGAGGCTCATCTGTGTTTACGAAGCCATCAGAACAGCTCCAAGTTTAAGTGCCTAATGAATTGTTTTATGAGAAGCACAACCCCCTGGGGTTGGTCACGATTCCTTTCTGCAGCTCCAGCATCCGGGGAACATGGCGGCAGAGTCAGCCCTGAGTGACGGAAGCTGTGCCCTGGGCTGGGTTCTGCCAAACCTGCTGGTGTTAGCCTGCCATGAGGGCCCCTCCCCAAGCTCCTGCTGTTGAATCAGGGGCAGGGAGGGCAGGAGTGCAGTGCTGCCCCGACAGACTGTGCTTGTAGCCCAGGCTAGCCCAGAGGCTTGTGTTTCCCCTGGGGACCCTTCCTGACAGCCACTCCTCGCCTGGCAGGAACCGGGGTAGTTCTGGAAAGGCTGTTTGCGTGGCTCTCAGACACCAAGGGTTCAGCCCCCACTGTGTGCAGAGGAGCCATGTAGGCAAAGCCGGCCACTTGCCTGAAGGTCGTGGGATACAGGCATTCCCACCCTTGGCCAGGCCTTGGCTTTGGTACCTGTTAGGAGAAGGTGTTGGACCAGGGCTCTGTAACTAGAACATCCATGCTGCTCCCACCTCCAAACCTCCAGGGAGCCTATTCAGGCACCAGACCACTTACCCCTTCCAACAGCCTGGTTAGCACCTTGAGGGATTGTTAGTGTCAACGTGGAAACTGAGGCTCAGGGAAGTCACCAGCATAACCCAGCTGGTAGGTGGCCATGCCAAGATACATGCAAACCCAGGTCTGTGTGGCCTGCAAGAGAAGTGATGGCCCTCATTCTCTCATTACCTCAAAGAGGTAAGGGTGACCTCCTTGGAGGGTTGCAGAGGCCCCCTCCTGCTGTGGCTACACACCAAGGCCAGGATGCGGGGCAGCCTCACCCGCACCCTGGGCGGGATCCCAACCTCAAAGATCTCCGTGAGTCCCTGGAGTGTCTTACCTTTCAGCTTCAAGGTATCCTCTGGTCACCATGGCTGCAGCCCCACCAGGGCCCCTCCTGGGAAGCCAGGGACTTGGATATGGAAGCCACGCACCGCAGTCCCCAGAAGGTAGAAATCATCACCCCCAATCTCTTCCGATCTCACAGTGAGAGGGAGCTGCTTCTCCCACTGTGGGGGCCCCACTGCAACTCCATCCCACTCCCCAGCCCCATCCTGACTGTGATGTGTGCGGGGATGCTCCTAGCATCCCCTAGCGCCCGTGCCTGCATTAGGGAAATCTCTACTGCCACTGGCTCCTCGGACAGGGCAGACCCTCTTCCTCGTGAAATGCTGTGTGTTTTCCACTTTGTGGGCTCTGATTGAGCCGGATCGTAGAAGTGGAGCCTAAAATGAGGGATGGCTGGCCAGACAAAGCCCACATGGAGGGTGTCCTTCACAGCGCGCTGGGGCAGGCAGCTCTCTTCCTACAGGGACAGGCTGGCTGCTCCATCTTCACTTTTCCCCAAGACCACAAAGAATCTGGGGTTGTTCCGGCTTCAGGAGAAAAGTCAGGGTGGTTGGGTGTGGTGGCTCACACCTGTAATCCCAACACTCTGGGAGGCTGAGGTGGGTGGATCACTTGAGGCCAGGAGTTCAAGACCAGCATGGCCAACATGGTGAAACCCTGTCTCTACTAAAAATACAAAAATTAGCTGGGCATGGTGGCACGTACCTGTAATCTCAGCTACTTAGGAGGCTAAGACAGGAGAATCACTTGAACCCAGGAGGCAGAGGTTGCAGTGAGCCAAGATCGCACCACTGCATTCCAAACTGAACGACAGAGTGAGACTCTGTCTCAAAAAAACAAAACAAACAAACAAAACTTAGCCAGACATGGTGGTGCATTCTTGTAGTCCCAGCTACTCAGGAGGCTGAGGCAGGAGAATCGTTTGAACCCAGGAGATGGAGGTTGCAGTGAGCCAAGATCACGCCACTGCACTCCAGCCTGGCAACAGAGTGAGACTCTGTCTCAAAAAAAAAGAAAAAAGAAAAAAAGAAAAGTCAGGTGATTTCTAAATTTCTTTCAAGTTTGGGAAAGGACATTGATATCATAAGCCTTTAGGTCCTCAGCTCCTAGAAGGGCAGGGAGGGAGGGGGGTCCTCTGGATGATTCCCGAGAGCCCAGGACCCACAGCTAGTGGTGCAGGCCCATTCCACGCACCGTCTGGTCCTCGCAGGGCGCTGCAGCCATCCTCACCTCATATCAGGAATGGCTTCAGCCCCAGGGGTTTGAGGGAACAAGGTGCTCAGAGGTGGTTTCTGGATTGGGAATCTGGAACAGCAACGCTGTGTTTCAACCCCCCACGCCTTTACCAGTGCTGTACCTTCTAGAACACCCCTTCCTCACCCTTCAGGTACTGGCAGCTCCCTTGTCATCCTTCAGAACCCCGCAGGGACATCACCATGGCTTTCCAAGGCCTCTCTTGGGCAGCCGTCCTCTTGGCTGGGACCCCGGCTCCCAGGCATACGACCACGTGGCACTTAATCCACTGTTTCAATCACTCCCCAGTGGGCTTTGTGCTCCCTGAGGTCAGGCTGAGTGTCTTACTCACGGGTGTCCCCGACAGTAGCTCCGTGGGAGTGCCAGTGAGTGATGTTTCATAGTGGGTCTTGTGTCTCTAGATAAAGCACTCCAAGTGGCCCACGGCTCACATTTACCTGTGATGTTACCTATTACAAAGCTCTTCTAGTCCCATTTTCTCACCTGAACAAGGTCAGTGAGAAAGTGGAGGCCCAGCCCCGAGGCCTCAGCCTGCCGAGGTCACCCCTGCACCCCGCACCCCCCTGCACTCCCCTTCCAGAGGGATCACCTGGCCCAGAACAGCATTTCGTGGCATTAAATTGTATGGGCAACCACACTTTCCATGTGCACGCCACACTGGGCTCCAGCCTCCCTCTGCCTTGTGGCATTTTGATTGGCAGGGTTCTTTGTTGTTTTTTTTTTTTCTTTGAGATGGAGTTTCGCTCTTGTTGCCCAGGCTGGAGTGCAATGGCATGATCTTGGCTCACCACAACCTCGGCCTCCCAGGTTCAAGCTATTCTCTTGCCTCAGCCTCCTGAGTAGCTGGGATTATAGGTATGCACCACCACACTCGGCTAATTTTGTATTTTCAATAGAGAAGACGTTTCTCCATGTTGGTCAGGCTGGTCTCGAACTCCCGACTGCAGGTAATCCGCCTGCCTCGGCCTCCCAAAGTGCTGAGATTACAGGAGTGAGCCACCGCGCCTGGCCCTGGCAGGGTTCTTTCTAGCCGGACTCAGAGGGTGTACTTTGTGGGCCTTGGAAGGACCCTCTGGGGTCAGCATCTGAGTAAGTCAGCAGCCCCGTCATGAACTCAGGGCAACCCCTCTCTCATCACACAGCTAGGAAAGCCCTGCCTGATGGGCATTTGACATCAGACCTTAGCAGCTGCCTCCTGATCCCTGCCCAGGCCTGTGCCAGGCAGGGACTCGCAGGGAACAGGCAATCCAGCAAACTCTTAAAGTGACAGGCTGCCAGGCATGTGCTCATCAGTGTGACCTGTTCTAAGATGACCCAGGGCCGCCAGCTCACATGCCCACTTTTGAAGGCCAAGTTTAGGGAAGAGCCCGGGAAGGTTCCCAGTTGGCGGAGAGGCAGATTCCTGTCCAGCTGACCACAGCCCAGCGGGAAAGCCAGGGCAAGCCTTGGCTGGGCCTACAGAGGGCCGAGGCAGCAGACACAGAATGGGAAGTAGGCTTTCTCCCAGGCAGAGAAGGAAAATATTACTATTTTCCCTTCTGGGCTGTCATCGTGCGCAGGTCTTTCTGCTCTGGCCAGGATGGGGACCTGCACCGGTTTGGCTCTGAAGCCCCCCTCCTCTGTTATTCCCACCTGCCCACCCAGTTATCCTTCCTGGGCCTCTGGACAGTTCTCCAGTCATGGTGGGCCCGTGGGCAGGACTTGGTCATTGGGCAAGGCTTGTCAACTGTGTGGGTGGTGGCCTCACCGCCCCACTGCCCTGGAAAGGAGAGCAGACTCCTTGCCGTCCCCCTCAGGGAACCTGGAGAGATCAGCTTGGCTCTTGGCTTTCAGCCATGAGAGAGAAACAGGGTATGGGGTTCACACGATTCCTGAGCATCTCTGGTGGGCCCAGCAGCCTCTCCCGACCCGTTCCCCACAGGCCACCTGTCCCTGGTTGCGTCTTCCTGCCCTGGTGGCAGTTCCCCCAACACCCATGCCCCAGCTCCTAAGGACTGGGCTATGAGGGGCTGGGACAGGCCCTGCCAGTGGGGAGCCAGGATGGGAAAGGGGATGAGTGTTCCATGCATTGCGTGGCATGCCAGACATTCTGCATGCACCTCCCCTGCCCCTACTCTGCAGGCTTACGCATAGGGAGACCAAGGCTGAGGGGCTCAGGATCCCAGCTGAAAAGGATACAAGCCCATACCTTCCTGATTCCAGAGCCCACTACACTGCTGCATTATGGTAGAGAAATAAACCTGACCCTCCCCTTGATCAGGGTCAGGAGGTCAGGAACACCTCCCCTGTCTACCCTCACCCTGCATCCCTGTCCTGGCACCACTGGCCACCCACCTTCTGCAGGCCTGCAGAGTCTCAGAGATCTTTCCACTGCAGCATCTTCACCCTGTCCTTCCTGCAAGGGCAGGACGCAGTATCTCTCACAATCCCCGTAGCCCTGTAGCCTCTATGCCTGGCTCAGAGCCCAGCACATGGGAGCCTCAGCAAATGAGAGAGAGAGAGGAGGGGTGGGGAGAATATTGTGAAAAATCACAGGAGCAAATGAATGAATCGCTTAGTGTCTGGCAAAATTCCCTAGTGGGTAATTTTTTTTGACTCTGATAAAAGCTAGCCTAGCAGATCCGTGCTTGAATTACTGTTTTGGGTAACTGTGAATTCTCCTGCCATTTAAGAGAAACCCCGTAGGACTATTAAATGACTTTGGTTTTTAGAATGAGTCTTGAACCATAACGTGCCTGCCCACAGGTGCTCGGCCAGGCATGAGGTGGGGACATTCTCCCTCATAGCAGCGTCCTCCCTGAGCACCAGGGTATACCTTGTACAGTGGCACTGCCTCTGTCACTTGGCTTAAGGTGGAGAATGATTGAGTTCGTACATATTACAAGCTCAGGCTTGGAGTGTTAGCATCCATAAAGTGAAAAAGCTGCGGGAGCAGGTTCCGTCTGCAGGCCAGGGCAGCAGAGCAAGGCTGGGGCGTGCTCTCCCCTGCAGTCCTGAGCCCCCTAGGTGGGCTGGCAGCTGGGCTCCATCCTGCTTCTTAGCAGCCTGTGGGCTTGTTCCTGCTGCTGTCCCTCCAGTCCCTGCAGGCGGGGCCCAGGCAAGACAGACTGCACCTGACTCGACCCCCATTCCTGAACTTGGAAGGCTCCTCATAGTTGGTCACTCATGCTGGGCCTAGGACATGGTCCTTCTGACCACATGACCCCCTGTGGCACTTGGGAACCTTGAGCTGTGAGGGTGAACACAGCCCCAGCCTTGTGGGCCCCGCACCCTCCTGTGGGAGCTGTAACCACATAGGTGATATGGGATGTCAGCGGCAAAAGGACCTTTAGGGGAAAGAGCCAGTGAGGTGGGATGGGGTGAAAGGCCACAGGTGCAGACAGGCTGGGGGCTAAGCAGGGGCACAGGTGCCAGGCACCCTGGAGTGCGCACTGGGAGCCACAGGAGGGGAGGTTGGAGTGAAGAGGAGGCCAGTCACAAGGGACCTTGTGCTGACAGTGTTCTGCTTCCACTTGAAATGAGACAAAGGACTCAATGCCAAGTGACTCAATGCCAATGTCAATGACTCAAGGCCAAATAAAATGATCCCACGTGCATTTTAGCAAGACCCCTCTGCTGTTTGGAGAATGCGCTATCCGCGAGGCAGGGGCAAGTGCTCGGAGACCCTTCGGGGGCCCCTTGGGCAGAGAAAGTAGAGCTGGCGCCCGTGAGAGTGGGCAGTGCTGCTCTGAGCTGAAGGCAGGGACAGCAGAGTTGCTGTGTGGTTGAGAAAAGAGGCCATGGGGAAGGACCCCATGCTGGGGGCCTAAGCCGCTAGAGAATGGGGGCCTTGCTGTCTGACGCCCTGCTTGGCCCACACATGGTTCCGCAGGATGCAGGAGGGTCTTTCCCAGGAGTGGGTTTTGTGTAGCCAGTGAGTGGGCAGAGCTAGCTTGCAGAGCTAGCTCGAGGTGCCCAGTGCAGGCAGAAAGCAGGGCTGGGCTGGCCAACAGAGGGTAGATGCTTACCAGGCCTGATGGGAGAGATGCCGCACTCTTGGTCCCTGGGTTTACCAAGGAAGGTAGCATCCCTCAGGAGACACACTTTGGTGCCTGCCGCAGGGCTGGCTGGGCAGTATGGGGTGCCTGCGACATCCTGATGGCAAGGACATGGGAAAACCTGGGGAGGAAGGGCACCCGGCACAGCCAGCACTCGATGGAGTCGGCTCGGGGGACACTCCACTTGGGGACACTCCAGCTGCAAGGGCAAAGTATGAGGGGGAAGTAGGAGACATTGGGGGCACCAGATAGAGTGGGCACTGGGGGTAGCCAGGGGCTGCTGGGAAGAGGGTCACAGGAACAGAGACAGCAACCTGGGGCCCTCAGACAGGGCTTCTGATGTGGGGCATCATAGAAACAAAGACCCGCATCAGAAGGGGCCCCACTGCTGGACATGCTGAGGCTTCTCTGAGGCCCCTCTTGGCTCACGGCCCAGGAGATCACGTGGGGCTCCTTAGGCCAACCCAGGCAGGGGTGAGAGGCCCGGAGCTGCCCTCCCTTGTCCCTCCGGGGCCTGTGGGGCAGGTTTCTGCCCAGCTGACCACCGTCCTGCTCTGACAGCTTGCTCATCCAGGGCCTGGGGAGATGGGTAAAAATAGATTCCAGATTTGTCTAAAATCAGTTGGCAAACTGGAAGCCAGATGGTGTTGGTTCCTGTGTGCGAGTGGCAAACTATTTTGAATGTGGAGAGGCTATTTTAAAGTTTTAATTGGACTGGAAAGCTGCTTCACCAGTGCCGAGAGTGAGTCAAGTCAAGGAGACATTCTGATCGACCCCCGGTGGGGACTGGGAAGGGCTGAAACCCCTGTGTGCTACCAGCCTGGGCCAAGCGCTCCTGTGAGGAGCAGGCCCTGGAAGCTCCGCCTCGGGGGTCAGGCAGGTGATGGAGACACAGCATGACAGCTTGGCTGGGCCAAAGGGATCCCCGGGGGAGCCCAGCACTTCCCCTTGTGGCTCCATGGGTCCCCAGTCTGGGTCTTGGACACTTAAGACCAGAATCGCAGTGCAGCTCCTTCCTGCCTTTGTGAGGCACCTGCTGAGCTTGGGTTTCATCTTGTGTAAAGTGAAGCCAAGCCAGGCATGGTGGCTCATGCCTGTAATCCCAGCACTTTGAGAGGCCGACGCGGGCAGATTACTTGAGGTCAGGAGTTTGAGACCAGCCTGGCCAACATAGTGAAACCCTGTCTCTACTAAAAATACAAAAATTAGCCAGGTGTGGTGGCAGGTGCCTGTAGTCCCAGCTCCTCAGAAGGCTGAGGCACGAGAATCGCTTGAGCCTGGGAGGCAGAGGTTGCAGTGAGCTGAGATGGCACCACTGCACTCCAGCCTGGGCAAGAGCAAGACTCTGTCTCAAAAAAAAAAATAGGTGAGGCCAGCCCGCCACTCCTCAATGGCAGGGGAGGCAAGATCCTGTTACTCCAGTGAGTCCCCTGGCCATGCAGAGGGGTTCAGGGAGACCCTGACTCTCTGCGATCTCACCGCTCATCACCTTCAGAACCCCAGGCTGGTGAGAGGCAGGGTCTGTGGCAACAAGGGATGTGAGGATCAGCGTGGAGGGTGGGTAGCCTTGGCCCTAGAAACCTGGAGAGCAGAGGGTCCTCCGGCCGCCCACCTGGGAGCCCAGAGCCAGAGGGCAGACACGTCAGATGCCTGGCAGGTCCTGGACCAGCCGCAGATAAGAACACGGCCCTTTCTCCCATTATCCCTGCACCAGGGGTGCTGGGACCTCCTGTGTGTGCTAATGGCTGGAGCCAGTTTCCTAGCCTGGACCATATGGGCATTTGGCCCATCTCCCCACCTCCTCCGTGAGCCCAGTGGCTGCCCACGTCAATGCCCAGCAGGCCTCTGGTGCCTCCCTCACATCCCTGTCTAGAAGGGAAGTTTCCAGGAAGCCACTGAAGGCCAGACAGGGTCCTGGCTCTGCATGCTCCCAAGAGCCTGAGAGGCTGCCCTAGGTCACACACAGGGGACCCAGGCTAGCTGACCTCACACCTTGCTCTCCCGCCTGGCCTGGGGAGCAGTGAGATCACTGTCAGGATTAGGATTAGGATTAGGAACAGCAAAAGCGATTAGAGTTTGTCCTCCTCTTCCTGGGGTGCATCTGGGCAAAGGTTTCCAGGTCAGAGATGCTCAATGTCTGTCCCATGGGGCACCGGTGACCAGCAGCAACCCCTGCTCAGACCTCACATGGCATGGCCCCTGACTTGGTTTCCCCTGGGTGGGCAGCCCTTACAGCCTTCTTCCCCAGGCCAGACTTCTCAGTAGGGAGAGTCCCTGGTGGTCAGGCAGGGCCTGGACTCCCCAGGTGGGGCTGCCCCAGGGCGGAGACCCCCCTTGTCTGTCGAGCTTTGTGGTTCTCACTCTGCTTGGGGGCAACTCGACAGGCTCCCTGCCCTCCCCATGGAGACAGGACCACACTGCCCAGGGGCTCTGCACCCCAGGCCGGCCCCTCTGCATCTCAGAGCACCCATACCCCCAACACCCCTTTCACCAGAACCCTCTGTGCAGCACTTGGGGGTAGGCAGAAGGGGCAGGGCCAGGACACTGGAACTCTGTCCCCACGCTGAGGACAATCAACCTGACAGGTCACAGAATCAGGGACTCTGTAGGAGCCCAGGAGGGCGCCAGGAGATTACAGGCCTGTCCCAGGATTGGGCAGTGGGGTAGCACCCATGCAGGGCCCAGGTACCACCTCCAGCTCCCACTAGGACCCCTCACTCTCTTCCCCTTAAACAATTCAGGACACAAATGTGCGGGTAGGGGGCTTCAGGTCAGCCCGTCTCTCCTCCTGCTCACAGCTGAGCACGAGTCTCCTGGCCCCAGGTAGAGTTGTCACACAGCCTCAGAGAAATGAGACCACGTTCAGGCCTGGGCTGGGTCAGCCAGGCCCTCCCTGGGCCCCTGGGAACCTCCCCCTGCCAGTCCCTCTGCCGGGCCCCAAGCCTAATCCAGCTTATCAAGCACACAGCACACAGCCCAGCTCAGCATTCTGAGAACAGCAGGGCCACGCCAGGCGCCTGCCTCTCCCCACAGCACAGCCAGGATGGGGCCTGGAGAAGGCCGGCAGCAGCAGAGGAGACCCTGGGAGTCAGGGATGGACACCAGGTGGGTGCATCCGGGCTGGGGGAGGTGGACGGGCTCTCTGCATCCATGGGGTGACCAGGCAGCTCATGTGCTGTGGGGGTAAAGGTCTTGGGTGCAGCCACATGAGGCCTTTGATATTAGGGCACAGCAGTTTTCACCCTGCCCCGCTTTTAGGTGACTGTGACACTCTACGACCTGCATGTGCCCAGCCTAGGCACATGTACCCAAATGAGGCCCAGCTGTCCTAGGGACTTCCTGTCTCCCTGCTGCACGATGCCAGCTGGCCCTTTGGTAGCCTTGAGGGGGACTGAGGTCACTCACGGCCAGTGTATCAGCCAGCAACCCTGGCTGTGTGTACAAAGTCCTCAGCTGGGGCTAAGGGTGCTGGGAGGCCACCCCTTCTCCCTGAGGCTAGGGCTGGGCTCTGTTGCTTGGACAGGGTTATTCCCAGGCAGCCTGGTTAGTGAATATCTCCCAGGAACCTAGCTCCACACCAGGAAGGCTCTGGGATCCCACAACATCCCTGCCCTCAAGGGGCTCCCAGACGGCAATCAAGATTTGGCTTTACAAAGTAAACCCTAACAGCACTGGTTCCATACCCTGGGGGACATGCAGGTGAGATGCTCAGGGACTTGGATCCTGGCCCTACACACACCTCCTTGTGGCCTTGGGCGAGTCCCTCAGTCACCCTGAGCCTTCATTTCCTCCTCGGTCATGCACACTATAAAAAAAAAAAAAAAATCTACCTCAGTGCTTGTAAGAATGCCTGCAATGCCCTGCCCCACAGTGGGCCCGCGGTGTGAGGGAGGTGGGGCTGGCATCAGAATCAGCAGGAGGGTTTGAATTTGAGCCAGGGAAAGGCAAGAAGACAGGATACCTGGTGGGCCACACTCAGGGCCCTGGGAAGGAACGGAGCCCCAGGAGATGAGGCTGGAGAGGATTGGAAACCATTTTCTATGAGAGGCTATCAGCTGCCCGGATCTGTGGAAAAAACAAATACTCCATTTTCCCTTGAAGGAGAAAATAGTCATTTCTAAAGTATTAGAGTCCCTGTGAACAGCAAAGGTAGGAGGTAGGGGGCCTAATTCATCTTTGTTCTCTGGTCATCTTTCCCTCTTTGCTTTTGCTGCTGGGAAGCCCAGGCACCCTCAGATGTGAGTTTGTGGGAATTCTTACCATGACCTTTGGCTACTATTTTAAACTGCTGTTGTATGGCTCTTTCATAAGTCTTGTAAATGACATGAGGTATATGAAAACAAAGCACCCATCTATGTGAGAACTTGTGGATGGAGAGGATGATTCTGGGGGCTGTAGGAGACTGGCAGGAAGTGATGGTGCAGGGATGAGGGAGGGCGGGGCAGAGGCCTTGTGCAGCCAGATAGGCAAGAACCCAGAAAACCATGAAGCACCAATTCACTCTCACCATGCACAGCACAGCCCTGGCCTCTGCACCCCTACTTGCATCAGGCAGGCAAGGGGATCGTGCCTTGTGTGGAGGTGGCCCTGGGGCTAGACAGACCTGGGATCCCATCCTGTTCACCCTGTACTGACCCGATTAGCCCCTTCTCCCAGTCCCGGGATGCAGGGGACTTCCCTGAAGCAGCACCCAGGGAGATGAGGGTGTCCTTCCTCACTTGCACTCTGAGCCTTGAGACCAGCTCAGCAGAGCCTGGAGACCTGCATGGGCCAGGGTCAGCAGAGCAGCAGTGTCAGAGAGCCCATGAACAGGTGGCTGGAACCAAGACTAACTTGACAGAGCACTGGGCCAAGCTTAGGGCAATGTGGGGAGGAGGGCCTCCTGGGAGCTGCAGCCAGGTAGGATGTTAGAGCAAGCTCTCAGTTGAGGACCTGGGTTCTGGATCTGGCTCTGCCACCTCCTTGCTGGGTGCCCTCAGGGCTAGCTTTGCTGTCTTGGGATGGGGTGGGAGTCTCTGTCTACCCAACTCATGGGGCTTCTGTAAGGGTCTGGAACATTCCTGAGGCACCCAGAGGGATACCGTCCCCCTGCCTCCGCCACCGCCCTTACACCCACTGGCACAAAACCAGCAAAGAGGTGCCATCTGGTCTGGCTGCTGGGGCACATTGTCTCTGAGTCTGTTTTCAGGGTCCTCACTCTAAGGCCTACAGCAGTGAGAGAGGGACAGGGTTGTGGGTGAAGCAGGACGGCCGCTGTAGGACTCCAGGTGGTGAAAGGCTCGGCTCCCAGTCACAAGCCAGGGAGCAGTGGAGTCAGGCCTGGAGCTGCGTCTCCCAGGACTCACCCAGGCCCACTATGGGGTCTGCAAATTGTATGATGGACAGTGACTGCAGTCCCACACCCAAGGGACAGCCTTATAAGACCCATGAACTCAAAATAGCCCAGACCTTCAACACCCTGGACTCAGTCTCACACATCATCAGGATGAGGCGCATGAGATAAGGAGGTTTCTTTCTTTCCTCGAGGAGGCCTTTCCCCCTGCCTCAACCTGCAGGGAGGAGACCTTCATCTGTCCAATGGGGGTGACTGCACTCCTCCCACCTGGAGAATTTTGCCGGATGAGCGGAGACAGGGCAGCTTGTGGGCACAGCATCTGTCGGGCATCACCGTCTGTCTCACAGAGAGGATGTGGGCTCAGAGGGTCCAAGGGGCTTCTGCTGGAACCCAGGTTTTCCAACTCCTGATAGTGCACCCCTGGCCACCACACTCTGCTGGCTTCCTTGGGCAGGCCATGTTGCATCTCCAGGCCCCATTTCACATCTCTGGGATGAGGAGGCACACCTTGCCCTGCCCACCCTGTGTGGTGCTTGAGGGAGATGGGGGAGGGAAGGTGCCCAGAGGAGGGCTTGTTCAAGGAGTGGCATCCCTGGGGCAGGCTGGGGGCCCCTTTCCACCGAGCCAGGCCAGCCACGAGAGCTCGGGCTCTCCCTGTGGGGTGGGCGAGTCCCCAGGCAGGGTGCCCCAGTGCACAGCCTTGGGGAGCCTCCCACCCTTGGAGGTGTTCTCCTGAGGCCGCCTCAGGACACCCCCGTCTCGCTCCCACTGCTGTCAGTCCCACCCCCCGGTAGGTGTCACTTGGCAGCAAATGTCTGGGAGCAGCTGCTGATTCAGGGGCATTCCTGGCACAGTCGCTGGAGAGACCGACCCAATGGGCAGGCATCTGAGCGGTTCTGACTGAGGGGCAGGCCGTTGCCTGGGAGAGCGATGCTGCAGAGGTCTGAGGAGTGGTGGGAGTTAGTGGTTGTGGCCTGGGCACCAGGTGCCAGGGCAGATGCGGGAGGGGATCCATGAGGCACGTCTGTTGAGTGCTCCCTCGCCCTGCCTGCCACATCACCTCCTGATATTTCCTCAACAGCTGCCTTGTCCCTGTGTCACAGGTGAGGACTGGTGTGCCCATCTTCCTCCTTTGGGGTGGGACAGCCTGTGATGTGCATGGAGCTCAGTGGGTGCTCCAGGTCAGCTGGGGCAATTGGGTGGGGAGGAAGTGCTGGGGAGTGGCAGCTGGGGCCACTGATGCAGATGCGGGCCAAGGAAACGTCCCTTCCTACTGGCTTCAAGAATGTGTCCAGAAAGGGCAAATCCAGAGGTTCCTAGATTTGATCTCACTGCCCTCCAGGGACAGCTGAAGCCTGAGCCATCCTCTCCACTGTAATGACAGGGCAGAATGACCAACCCCTGCTTCAAAACTGGTGGTGGAACCATCTGTGGACCTGGGAAGCTGAAAAGATTCTGGATGTCTCAGTAGGCCACAAGCTTGAAGGGAAAACCTTAAAAGCAGTTATGTGATTCAGACTCTGATGTAGCTTGGTAGAAAGTGCCAGTCCCACTTCTGCCAGACAAGACCAATTACCTCTCTGAGCTGGGGAGGATAGCAGAACGTGGCTTTCCTTCCTTCTGTGCCACGGCCAGGGACTGGCCCAGGGTAGACAAGGGCCAGTGACAAACCTGAGGCCTAACACTGCAGGGAGGACGTGGCCGCAGAATGCTCGGGCCCTACCATAATGAGCAACAGCAGCCACCTCAGCTCCAGGCTGAACCAAACCAGCTGCTGCTGGGGAGGCAGCGTGCAGACCCGTGGCACCCAGGTTTGCTGTTCCCCAACTGGCATCCTGACCGTGGGAGGCCAACCAAGGTGGGTGCTGGTTGCTGGGCGGGCTCTGAGAAGGCCAGGGTTCCCACATCCCCAAGGAGGCCAAAGGGGGCAGTAAGCATGTTTGTGACCATCCCAGCAGAGGGGGCAGCTAGATGGCCCCCAGGGCCTTCTTCACTGCAGGTGTCAACAAAAACAGACTCTGCAAAATATTTGAAGAGATTTATTCTCAGCCAAATATGAGTGACCACAGCCATGACATAGCTCTTGGGAGGTCCTGAGAACATGTGCCCAAGGTGGTTGGGGCGCAGCTTGGTTTTATATATTTTAGGGAGGCATGAGGCAGCAATCAAATACATTTAAGAAATACATTGGTTTGGTTCAGAAAGGCGGGACAGCTCAAAAGCAAGGTGGGGAGGGGGCCTTCCAGGCTATAGGTAAATTTAAACATTTTCTGGTTGGCACTTGGTTGAGTTGTCTAAAGACCTGGGATCAATAGAAAGGAAATGTTCAGGTTAAGATGAAAGATTGTGGAGACCAAGGTTCTTTTTAAGTCTTATAGTGGCTCCCCTTGGAGACAATAGATGACAAATGTTTCCTAATCAGACCTTTAAAAAGGTGCTAAGACTCTTACTTCATCTCTTCAGGGTTGGGAGGGCCTGGAAGAAAACGATCTAGCTCTGTGAATAGAGATTCTTTACAGATGCACGTTTTCCCCCACAAAGGACAGCTTTGCAGGGCCACTTCAAAATATGGCAAAGAAGCATGTTTTGGGATGAAATACTTTTTCTTCCTTGACTCGTAATGTTATGCCAGAGTCAGGTTGGAAAGTAAGTCACGATATATAGGGCTAAATAAAGCCCATCTGATGAGAATGTATGGTTTTTAGGGCATGACTCCCCAGACGCCTTAGATAGGAATTTGGGCAAGATAAAAAATATCAGAGCTTAGTCCTCACAGGGAATGGAGGTGGGGGAGCAGATGTGTTATAGGAAAGGGGTCCTGATCCAGACCCCACGAGAGGGTTCTTGGATCTCACACAAGAAAGAATTCAAGGCGAGTCTGCTGTGCAAAGTGAGAGCAAGTTTATCAAGAAAGTAAAGGAATAAAAGAATGGCTACTCCATAGATAGAGCAGCCCCCGGGGCTGCTTGTTGCCCATTTTTATGGTTATTTCTTGCTGATATGCTAAACAAGGGGTGGATTATTCATGCCTCCCCTTTTTAGACCATAGAGGATGACTTCCTGATGTTGCCATGGCATCTGTGAACTGTGGCGCTGGTGGGAGTGTAGCAGTGAGGACGACCAGAGGTCACTCTCGTCGCCATTTTGGTTTTGATGGGTTTTGGCCGGCTCCTTTACTGCAACCTGTTTTATCAGCAAGGTCTTTATGACCTGTATTTTGTATCTCATCCTGTGACTTAGAATGCCTTAGCTGTCTGGGAATGCAGCCCAGTAGGTTTCAGCCTCATCTTACCCAGCTCCTGTTTAAGGTGGAGTTGCTCTGGTTCACATGCCTCTGACAGATGGGCCCCTGCCAGAGGCCAGGGTCTCATACCGCCACTCCTCCCTCCCCAGGCCTGCAGGGACTTCTTGGAACTAGCAGAGATACACAGTCGGAAATGGCAGCGGGCACTGCAGTATGAGCAGGAGCAGCGCGTGCACTTGGAGGAAACCATTGAGCAGCTGGCGAAGCAGCACAACAGCCTCGAGCGGGCCTTCCACAGTGCCCCTGGCCGGCCGGCCAACCCCTCCAAGAGCTTCATTGAGGGTGAGTGGGCAGCCAGGGCAGGGCTGTCCCATGACCTTCTGCCAGCTGGCTCTGCATACACAACTTCTGCGCCCCCACATGCACATCCCTGGCTGTGCCCACATGTGGGCTGGCCTTGGCCAACTCTTGACTGCCTCTTCGTGGTTTTGTATCTCCCATGTCCATCACCCACTGGCAACAGTTTGTCTGCACCTAGGTTCACATTCTCAAGAGTTAAATTTAATGAGCCCAGCTGTCCCCTGTGTGACAGGGGTGTCCTGGTGCCAGGTGGCCACCCACCTAGCCTTGGGTTGGGGGTCATGGGGACCCTGGACAGGGGTCCATCAGAAAGGGAAGCTGGGCCACAGAAAGACTGACCCACATGTTGAGAGATCGGGGGGGCTTCCAGAAAGAGGCTCCTGTGCGGTGAATGCGTTGAAAGCACATGATTCTAGCAGAGGGAGCAAGGGTGGCCGCAGCCCAGGGAATCAGGGCTGCCCAGGTGACTGAAGCAGGAGGGGAGTGAGGCCAGATGGGGGTTGGGGGAGCCCTTGGCTCTGGACTTAGGGAGGCGAGATTGAGCCTTTTGTGAGGTTACAAATTAAAGCTCTGTCTGTGTCTCTAGGAAGCCTCTTGACTCCCAAAGGAGAGGACAGTGAGGAAGATGAAGATACCGAGTACTTTGATGCCATGGAAGACTCCACATCCTTCATCACCGTGATCACCGAGGCCAAGGAAGACAGGTAAGGTGGCTGCAGCTGGGCAGAGCCTCCCCCACCCTGGTCTTAGGCTGCATCTGGTCTTTTCACCAGCTATCTAGTTGTCTACTTGGGGTTTTCTTTCCTTTAAATCTTGCTTTGGCCAGGCCCAGTGGCTCCCAGCACTTTGGGAGGCCAAGGGTAAGAAGATTGCTTGAATACAAGAGTTTGAGACCAGCCTGGGCAACATGGCGAAACCCTGTCTCTACAAAAAATACAAAAACTAGCCAGGCATGGTAGTGCAGGCCTGTAGTCCCAGCTACTTGGGAGGCTGAAGTGGGAGGGTCGCTTGAGCCCAGGGAGGTGGAGGCTGCAGTGAGCCATGGTCATGCCACTGCACTCTAGCCTGGGCAACAGAGAGACCCTGTCTCAAAAAATCAATAATCTATCGGTCTTGCTCCAGATGGGATTTCATTGTTGTGTGAGCCTCATAGAGTATACTTACACAAACCTAGCTGATAGAGCCTGCCACACACCTGGGCTATATGGCACAGCCTATAGCTCCTGGGCTACAAACCTGTACAACATGTGACTGTACTGAATATTGTAGGCAATTGTGACACAATGGTTAAGGATTTGTGTATCTAAACATAGAAAAGGTATATTAAAAATACGATATGATAGTCTTATGGGACCACTGTCATATACACTATCCACCCTTGAAATGTTGTTATTGCGGTGCCTGTCTACACACAGAACACACGGCAGTGACCAGGACATTTACTAGCAATGAAAATGATGTTGTCTGGAGAGAGGATGGGCCAGGTCCCAAGGAGACCTCGGGATTCATTAGTAACTTGCCTCCCGCTTTGTATTTCCAGCAGAAAAGCTGAAGGTAGCACCGGGACAAGTTCCGTGGACTGGAGCTCAGCAGACAATGTAAGTGAGGGGGAGCACTGTAAGGGCCAGAAGGCAGCTTCTGGCCTAGGGGGTGGGAGGGACAGGCCAGCACCAAGAACTGGGGGCCAGCAGGCAGGCCCATGCCCCAGTCCAGGAGCACCATCCTGGCCTTCCACCAGCAGCGTACCAGTGGCCGGCTTGGTGCCAGTCCTCAGGGTGGAGGGCAGAAACTTGGAAGCCAAGGGGGCGCTCTGGCCTCTGCTGACGGTGAGGGGGTCCCCACTTATGTGGCAGGTACTAGATGGTGCCTCGCTCGTGCCCAAGGGTTCATCCAAAGTCAAGAGGCGAGTCCGCATTCCCAACAAGCCCAACTACAGCCTTAACCTCTGGAGCATCATGAAGAACTGCATCGGCCGGGAGCTCTCCAGGATCCCCATGCCGGTGGGTGGCTCGGGCAGGGCAGCCCCGACAGGTCCTCTGGGGCTGCTTTCCTGTGCGTGGATGAGCAGTAATGGCCTGTGTGAAGTACACACAGCCTTGGAGTGTCATTTTCTTAACGGCACCTGAGGAGCATGTAACTAATTATCTAATCGTGCACATAGGCATTGCCCAATCTTCCAAAGTACAGGGATCTTTGGGCTCTGACAGGAGGAGCCAGGGAGAAGCTCTGCATGGATCAGCAACCTGGGGAGCCCCAGAGCACCTCTGGATCTCACAGGACCTTACCATGTCCCAGCTGTCCCGATCTGTAGATGGGGAGTGGCAGGATGGGGCTGTGTGTGGAGGGGTGGGCCCTCCTTCAGCTGGCAGCCATCCCTGGTGCCATCCCCAGGAAATGCAGGCTCAGAGCTTGGATCCTCATGCCACCTGGCTACAGTGGCATCTCCACTAGGCCAGACGGTTCTGCTGTGTGACCCAGAACAAGTTCCTTCACATCTCCAGCCTCTGTGTCCACATGTGTAGGGTGGGGAGAAACACAGCGTCCTCTTCAGTGTCTGGGAGGATGGAGCAAGATAACACGAGGAAGCTGAGACTCGTACCCGATGGCATCATGGTGGGGAGAGTGACCCTGCCCTATGTGACACCGAGATAGGGGCCTTGGGCCTAACCCATCCTGTGCCGGGCCCCATCACAGCTCGCAACATGGGGAAGACCCACTTCCTCCACCCACAGACTCATGTGCCCATTCAGTCACTGCTTCCTAAGATTCTGCACTCAAGATACAGCAGTGGGCCAGGCAGAACCCCTGGCCTTGGTGGGTGTCCATCCGAGCAGAGGAGAGCAACAGTGAACATGATAAAAGTGTGTAGGATGCAGCAGACCAGAAAGTGGGAAGGGCTGTGGAGAAAACAGCCAGGAGGGGCCAGGGAGGTGATGGCTTGGGGGCCACACTGTTGGACAGGGCCATCTGAGGAGCCTCACTGTGAAGGTGCTGTCTGAGCAGGGATGTCCCTGAACATCCGAGAAAAGCAAGGGCACCATGCCAAGCCGGGGCTGGTGCCCAGCCTGACCACCCACCTGTCCACCCACAGGTGAACTTCAATGAGCCCCTGTCCATGCTCCAGCGGCTGACAGAGGACCTGGAGTACCACCACCTGCTGGACAAGGCAGTGCACTGCACCAGCTCAGTGGAGCAGATGTGCCTGGTGGCCGCCTTCTCTGTGTCCTCCTACTCCACCACAGTGCACCGCATCGCCAAGCCCTTCAACCCCATGCTGGGGGAGACCTTCGAGCTGGACCGCCTCGACGACATGGGCCTGCGCTCCCTCTGTGAGCAGGTGAGGGGGCTAGGCTGGCACTGGGTGGCGCCCACCCACACTCTGGCCAAGCTGTTCCTGCCAGGCCCAAGGTGACAAATGGGAGGCAGCGTCTGTCTGACCCTGACTGCCCATACCCAAGGGGCCATCAAGCTGAGGTCCAGCCAGGGAGCAGGGCCTTCCATGGCAGGGGCAGGCACACGGCCTCCTGGAGATGGCGAGGGGCATGAGAACTCAGCTTGGTGAGGACAAGGTCAGGCCTGGTTGCAGGGAGCGGGAGGATAAGCTCCAGTCCAGGGTGTTGTGGAGCAGAGGTGGAGGGGCATCTGTGGGCACTGCTGGGGAGGAGCATGGGGTCACTACCGAGCTGAAGGCGGCTGGCAGGAGGAGCCTGGGTGCGGTGGGATGGACTCTGCCCCAGCCAGTGACAGCAGCCTGTCCCCACCACCCCTTCCCCACAGAGATATGCCAAGACCCAGGCCCAGGAGCCTCAGCAGTGGCAGCCCCATGCTGAACCTGGGCGTCCTGGTTGGAAACGAGGTGATTCTGTTGGTGCTGGCGTTGCCCTGGCTCCTGGCATGAGTGTGGGATGCTGGCCATTCACAGACCCTGCTGCTAGTTGAAGAGGCTGCAGCTGCTGCAAGGCCCCGTTAGGAGGTGGCTGCAGTGACACACGCAGGGGTGTGGTGGCCAGACCTGGGGGAAGGGGGAGGCCAGAACACAGGCAGCTTTTGAAGGATGAGCCAGCTGGTTTGCCGACGCTTTGGATACGGGGGTGGGGGGCAGTCAGGGTGATCTTGGGTCCTTGGCCTGAACCCTGGAGTGAATGTATTTCTCCACTTAGCAGACATTAGGTGCCCTCGACATGCCAGGTGCTGCTCAGACATGGAGGTTTCAGCTGGGAAGTGAACAGACACGGCTCTGGTTCTCATGGGGCTGGGAAAGCAAGGCAGATACTGTGGCTGCTTCCAGCTCTTTTAGAAAGGGGGTGGTCAGGGAGCAGCTTTGCTGATGCAGAAAGAGTGAGGGGAGGAAAGGAAAGGAGGGTGAAGAAGCAGCAGCTGGAGGGCGGTGCACCCCGGGTGGGGCCTGCCTCCTGACCTGCCAGAGGAACCCTCCACTGCGATGGAGGGAGTGGCCCACAGGGAAGCCTGGGGAGATGGAGGTGGGAGTGGAGGGGGCAGATGCTGGATGCGATTTGAAGGAAGGGCAGGAAGGGTTTGCTTAGGGTTAGAGGAGGAGCATGAGGAGGGCCAGAGAGGCTGCAGAGCGTTTGGTGTGAGCAGCTGGAAGGGCAGGATGCTGAGGTATAGGCGAGGAGGAGGCAGAGCTTCCTATGGGCTCCTTGGGGAGGGATCAGCTGAGCTCAGGGCCAGCTAACCCATCTCCTGGGGCATAGGAAGCAAGTGGGCACCTCTTACAGAGACAGGAAGTGAGGCGAGGCACACTGCGGGCAGCGGGATCCCGGCTCTGCCTGTCTGAGGGGAGATGAGATGTCCAAGGGCAGCTGGAGGCCAGGGGCAGGGCTAGGCTAGGGCTGCTGTCCTGGGGAGTGGGTAGACTTAGGAGAGGGAAGCCTGGGCCCCACAGCCAGAGCAGCATGGAATAAGGAAGAACAGACAAGGGAGGCTTGGTGGAACTGCCAGCAAGGCAGGGGAGGGCCGGGCCCGGGGCAGTGCATCGATGTGGATGCCTGCTCTGGAGCCAGGCTGGCCAGAGGCAGGGCCCGACTGCCCCTTGGCTAAAATCACTCTGCCAGTCTGGGCCCCCTTGGTATAACATGGCACAGCAGACACACCTGGTGTGTGGGGAGGATTAGATGAGAAGTGGACATGGAACCTTCGGCATAGTGTGACACCCTTTATCAGCCCTCAGTGCACCTGTCACAGACATGTCTTTGAGCATGAGGTCCACCATCACCCCTATTTCACAGCCCAGGAGCCAGGCACTGAGAGGCTCAGGACAGCACCCGGATGCTTTTCTGCTCAAGGCAGTGCCTTCCTGGGGGCCTGCCTTGGGTCCATGGCCACCTGAGGAACAGCCAGGACTGCTCCTATGGCCACAGAGCTGTGCCTGCTGAGGCAGGGCAAGCTGTCCCTCCCTGGCTGGGGCAAGTGGAACCTGGGCTCATGTCTGGCAGATGCTCACATCCTATGGGTCTGGTCTCAGGTGAGCCACCACCCCCCCTCAGCTGCGCACTACGTGTTCTCCAAGCATGGCTGGAGCCTCTGGCAGGAGATCACCATCTCCAGCAAGTTCCGGGGAAAATACATCTCCATCATGCCGCTAGGTGAGCTGGGGCCCGGTGCCTTCCTGGGACACAGAGACATTGTGCATAAGAGGGAGGATTCTGGTGATGCAAAAGCCAGCTGGGGGCTTCCAAGGGAGACCTCCCTGTAGGCCTGCCTCTTCAACCCCCCAGCCTAGTTCTCAAGACACCAGGCCTAAGGGCAGACTGGCCAGAGCCCTGCATGGGGGGGCATGACCTCTGACCTGTCCCCTGCCTCCAGGTGCCATCCACTTAGAATTCCAGGCCAGTGGGAATCACTACGTGTGGAGGAAGAGCACCTCAACTGTTCACAACATCATCGTGGGCAAGCTCTGGATCGACCAGGTCAGGGGCGCCCTTGGGGAGGGGGTGCATGGCCCGGGGGCTGGCCGCTGACCACTGCCCTCCTTCGCCAGTCAGGGGACATCGAGATTGTGAACCATAAGACCAATGACCGGTGCCAGCTGAAGTTCCTGCCCTACAGCTACTTCTCCAAAGAGGCAGCCCGGAAGGTAAGCAGGACCAGCCACCTCTAAGCACCCCAGGGGGCCCAGGGCAGAGTCTGCACCTACGCTGGTCCTGCCAATGTCCACAGGTGACAGGAGTGGTGAGTGACAGCCAGGGCAAGGCCCATTACGTGCTGTCCGGCTCGTGGGATGAACAAATGGAGTGCTCCAAGGTCATGCATAGCAGTCCCAGCAGCCCCAGCTCTGACGGGAAGCAGAAGACAGTGTACCAGACCCTGTCAGCCAAGCTGCTGTGGAAGAAGTACCCGCTGCCGTGAGTAGGGCTGGCAGGGGCCCCGCCACAGGCAAAGGAGAGGGAAGGAGGACAGTGGACAGAAAGCAACTGACAGGCACAGGAGGTCGGGAGGGTTCAGTCCACACATGGGCAGAGAACAGTATTATGCAGCCGACATCCCAGTGTGAAGGCAGACACCGAACAGTAAATAAATGTGAAACTATCAAACACTATGCACAGACTTTAAGCGAGGTGATAGGACAGAGCCCCTCCCTGTTCCTCCCTACAAGAAATAAAAAACATACTTGAAAATAACCACAGGAAATAGAAAACTATAAAATGTGGCATAGGAAAGTCCAAAGAGAACAAATAGAAATTCGACAAAGGGAAAAAAAAATGACTGACATTGAGAACCCTGTGGAATGGTTTAGTAGCTAGAATCTATCACCTGAACACAGGTCAGAAGAAGTGACAGAACTGCATTTAAAGAGACAAAACCCAGAAAAGACAGGAAGCTACAGGGAGAAGACAGAGTGAGGTCCCTGGAGCAGGCTCCCTGGCCTCTCCTGGGAGCGAGTTTGAGTGCAGTCTCCCGTCAGACCTCCTGCAATGGAATCTGCATTTCTGTAAGCTTGCTCAGCAAGATTGAGAGCAGGGTTTGGCATTTCTAGCGAGAGTCCCAAAAGGAAAGAGGGACTGTACCTGAAGATAAAAATAACAAAGAAATTCCTGCACCTAAATCTATGCAGTGAAACTAAATCAGAGAGAAACTATTAAGCAGCCAGATTTTAAAAAGACATCACTTTCCGAGGAGCTGTCCCCTTATCAACAGAAATGGGAGCTTGAAGACAGTCAAATGATATCTTCCGTGAGTTGAAAGATGCACTGCCAGCCTAGAATTATACACCCAGGGAGACCATCTTTAAAGAATGAAGGTGAAATCAAGGCATTTTCAGGCAAACAAAAAGCTTACTTTGGCACCAGCAGACCTGCACAAAAGGATATACCTCAGGCAGGAGGAAACTGACCCCAGAGGGAAGATCTGAGAATAACGGATACTGTGCACCTAAATTAAAGCTGAATAAACAAGAATAACGTGGGGTACAACATTTTAGAATGTGGCTGCACAGTACGAAGAGGAATGAAGGGAGGGAAACTGCTCAAAGGCCCCCCCGCCATGCTGCCCTGGAAGAGGATCAAGATGCACATTCGCTTCTGAGTGTATGAAGTATGTTTATTGCGATTCCTAGGGTAACCGCTAAAATAACCCATTTAGCTGGAATCCCAGAAGGAAAGAAGAAGAAGAAGAAAAAAAACAAAGAGGGAGATAAAATGAAGATAAATTTCCCAAAGTAAAAGCAAAGAGATGAAAGACCCTGTACTGAAAGGGCCTATAGCGTGCTGAAGACAAGAAATAAAGAAAAATGTTCATCTAGATCATGCTATAGTCAAAATGAAGACCGAAGAAAAAATTCTAATAGCTTCCAGGGAGGAGCAAAAGATTTTAGTCAAGGATAAAGAATTAGACATCAGATTTTTCAATAACCAACATTGGATTAATATTTTCTAAGTTAGAAAATTCTACTTTCTAATTTTGTATCTAGTCAAACTGACATTCACATATGGGGCCATATCCTTAGGCACGCAGCCTCGGAAGTTTTGCCACACAAAAACCCACAATGAAAACAGTATTGGGCCTGGTGTGGTGGCTCACGCCTGTAATCCCAACACTTTGGGAGGCCGAGGCAAGCAGATCACTTGAGGTTAGGAGTTCAAGACTACCCTGGCCAACATGGAGAAACCCCGTCTCTACTAAAATACAAAAATTAGCCAGGCATGGTGGCACGCACCTGTAATCCCAGCTACTCAGGAGGCTGAGGCATGAGAATCACTTGAATCTGGGAGGCAGAGGTTGCAGTGAGCCGAGATCGTGCCACTGCACTCTAGCCTGGGAGGAAAAAAAAAAATGAAAACAGTATTGGACACAGTACTTTAAAGGGGAGGATGGGGGGAGCAAGGATGTCACAATAGATGAATAAAGGGGTTTTGTTTGTTTTTTTGTTGTTGTTTGTTTTGAGATGGAGTCTCACTCTGTCGCCCAGGCTAGAGTGCAGTGGCATGATCTTGGCTCACTGCAACCTCTGCCTCCCAGGTTCAAGCGATTCTCCTGTCTCAGTCTTCCGAGTAGCTGAGATTACAGGGGCATGCTACTGTGCTCGCCTAATTTTTGTATTTTTAGTAAAGACGGGGTTTCACCATGTTGGCCAAGCTGGTCTTGAACTCCTGACCTCAAGTGATCGGCACACCTCGGCCTCCCAAAGTGCTAGGATTACAGGTGTGAGCCACCACACCCAGCCTAAAAGTTATTTTTTAAACAACTACTAGGATCAAAGAAAAAGAGAAAACATGCTCATAATAATGCAGATTTAAAAGTTTAGATAATCTTAGCATGATGGAATTTGAGGAGAAGGGGAAGGATCTGAGGGATGTGAAGAAATGCTAAGTTCTTATTGGAAGGAAGAAACATTTATAAGACTGTTAAAATGGTAAGAGAAAATTAAAAAGTAGCACAAACAAAAACTATAAATTAACATGATAGCAATAGGCCCAAGCATTATCAATGATTATAATAAATATAAATAGATGAAGCTCACCAGTTAAAAAGCAAACTACTGGCAAACTGGATTTTTTTTTTTTTTTTAAGAGACAGAGTCTCGCTCTGTTACCCAGGCTGGTATCCAGTGGCACGATCACAGCTCACTGCAGCCTCAAACACCCAGGTTCAAGTGATCCTCACCTCACACTCCTGAATAGCTAGGACTACAGGCATGCACCACCATGCCTGGCTAATTTTTAAAAATTTTTTATAGAGACAGGGTGTCACTATGTTGCTCTGTCTGATTTCAAACTCCTGGCCTCAAGTGATCCTCCAGCCTCAGCCTCTCAAAGTGCTGGGATTATAGGCACAAGCCACCATGCCCGGCCTAACTGGATGTGTTAAAATCCAGATACCCAGACCTTCTAAGAGGTTCCCAAAATATAAAGGTATATAAAAGTTGAAATTAAAAGACACATATCATGAAAATACTAACAAAAAGCTATAATAGCTATATTAATATCAGGTAAAATAGACTTTAGGACAAAAGCATTATTAAGGAAGGGAAAGTTGCTATAATAATAAAAGGTTGAGTTAATCAAAAAGATATAATAGTTTTAAACATTATGCATATAATTAAATTCCTCAAAAATAGACAAAGCACATATTGATACTTAAGGAAGAAATTGATAAATCCATCACCACAGTGGGAAATTAGGAAGTTTCTGTACACCTCTTTCACTTGTTGATAGGTCAAATGGAAACAATAAACAATCCAGCAAGTATATGGAGATCCAAACAATATATGCTATTACCGACTCATGGATGCAACTCTGAGAACATATTTTTTCTCAAGTATACATGGAATGTATGCAAAAACTGATTGTGTAGTAAACCCTAATGGAAGCCTCAGAGATTTAGAGCGTAGCATACAGACCACAATCTATAAGACAATTAAGATAGAAGTTACAAGCAAAATGACCAAAAAATCCCAAATATTTGGGAAAAAATTTTAAGTTGCTAAATAACTCATAGGCAAAATAAATTAGAATGAAAAAATGCAAAATATGTAGAACTGAATGATATAAAAGATATTTGGCCGGGATGGTGACTCAACGCCTGTAATCCCTGCACTTTGGGAGGCCGAAGGTAGCGGGGGAGGGCGGGGATCACCTGAGGTCAGGAGTTCGAGACCAGCCTGGCCAACATGGTGAAACCCTGTTTCTACTAAAAATACAAAAATTAGCCGAGCGTGGTGGCACGCACTTGTAATCCCAGCTACTTGGGAGGCTGAGGTAAGAGAATCGCTTGAACCTGGAAGGCAGAGGTGGCAGTGAGCTGAGATCGTGCCACTGTACTCTAGGCTGGGTGACAGAGTGAGACTCCGTCTCAGGAAAAAAAAAAAAAAAAAGATATTTAAACTGGCTGGATGCAATAAAAGCAATGCTTCAAAGGAAATATATTGCCTTAAATCATTTAATGTTGAGGCTTTCTCCTTTGAGTTTCAATTCTAATATTAGAGAAAGTTCAACATAGAAATCCAAAGAAAGAAGAAAATATACTTTAAAAATAAGAGCAAGAGCAAAAGCCTGCGCAACATAGTGAGACCTCATCTCTACCAAAAAAAAATTTTTTTTTTCTTAATTAGCCAGGCATGATGGTACATGCCTGTAGTCCCAGATACTCAGGAGGACTGAGGTGGGAGGATCACTTGAGCCCAGGAGGTCGAGGCTGCAGTGAGTTGTGAACACACCACTGCACTCTAGCCTGTGTGACAGAGCAAGACCCTGTCTCAAAAAATAATAATAATTTTGGCTAGACGTGGTGGTTCATGCCTATAATCTCCTGTATTCCATTTTCACACTGCTATAAAGATACCACCAGAGACTGGGTAATTTATAAAGGAGAAAAGGTTTAATTAACTCACAGTTCTGCCTGATTGATTGGGGAAGCCTCAGGAAACTCAATCATGGCGTAAGGTGAAGGAGAAGCAAGTACCTTCTTCACAAGGCAGCAGGAAAAGAGCAGAGAGTAGGGGAAACAGCTGCTTACAAAACCATCAGATCTAGTGAGAACTCACTCACTATCACAAGAATAGCATGGGGGAAACCACCCCCATGGTCCAATCACCTCCCACCCGGTCCCTCCCCTGACATGTGGGGATTACAATTTGAGATGAGATTTGGGTAGGGACACAGCCAAACCCTATTATCCCAGCACTTTGGAAGGCTGAGGCGGGAGGATTGCTTGAGTTGAAGAATTTGAGACCAGCCTGGGCAATATGGCAAGATATCATCTTTATATTAATAATAATAATAATAATAATAATAAAAGCAGAAATCAATTAAAAAAACAAAGCCAAAAGTTGATTCTTTGAGGCATAAAAAAACTGTCAAAATAGAAAACTACTGACAAGACTGATCAAGATAGAAATAAATATTAATGAAAAAGGTTTAATGTGACATATAAAGTATAAAGACATAATTAAAACTTAGATTGGAGGGACAAATTCTTAGAAAAATATAACAAGAACTAACTCTAGCTGGGCACAGTGGCTCATGCTTATAATCCCAGCACTTTGGAAAGCCAAGGCAGTTGGATTGCTTAAGCCCATGAGTTCAAGACCAACCTGGGCAACAGCAAGACCCTGTCTCTACAAAAAAAAAATTTTTTTAATTAGCCATGTGTAGTCCCACCTGTAGTACACATGTGTAGTACACACCTGTAGTCCCAGCTACTCAGGAGGCTGAGGCAGGAAGGTTACTTGAGCCCAGGAAGTCGAGGCTGCAGTGAGCCATGACTACTACTGCATACCAGCCTGGGTGACAAAGCAGACCCTATCTCAAAAAAAAAAAAAAAAGAAAAAGAACTGACTCTAGAAGAAATTGAAAACATGAATAGTCCTATAATAAAGTAACTGAAGCAATAGTTTAAAAATTACTGTAAGGAAAACACGAGGCCCAGATAATTTTACAGATGAATTCTCCCTATTTTTTCAGAAACATATTATTCCAATTTCATATAAAGTGTTCCAGATCATAGAAAAAGGAAATATTCACCTCTCCTAAACTGTGAGGCCAGGATAACCCTCATACCAAATTAGGCTAAACTAGCAGTAGGAAAATAAAAGTTCTACCCTATTTCACTTATATTAATAAATATATAAGCAAAAATCTAAAACGATATCAGAAAATCCAATCCAACAGTGTATAAAAAAGATAGCATCCTATAATCAGGTTGAATTTATCCTGGGTATATAGAATGATTTTATATTAGAAAATCCATAGAGTAATCATATTAACAGATTTCAATAGATTCAGAAAAATCATTTTAGGTGCCTAGATACAAGATTAATATACGAAAGCCAGTTGCATTTCAGCAAACAACTAGAAAAATGCAATTTAAGATAAGACACCAAGACTGGGCGCAGTGGCTCATGCCTGTAATCCCAGCACTTTGGGAAGCCAAGGCAGGCAGATCACCTGAGGTCGGGAGTTTGAGACCAGCCTGACCAACATGGAGAAACCCCATCTCTACTAAAAATACGACATTAGGCGTGGCGGCGCATGCCTGTAATCCCAGCTACTTTGGAGGCTGAGGCAGGAGAATCACTTGAACCCAGGAGGCAAAGGTTGTGGTGAGCCAAGATCATGCCATTGCACTCCAGCCTGGGCAACAAGAGCGAAACTCCATCTCAAAAAAAAAAAAAAAATTAACAGCATATAACATCAAGGACCTTGTAATAAATCTAATATAATCCAGACCTCTATAGAGAACATTATACAGCTTTAATAAGAGATACCAAAGAAGAGCTAAATAAATGGAGAAAGATATAATGTTCACGGATAGAAAGTATTGTAAAGATGTCATGATTTAAAAAGTCAGTAAATCAAACAAAACCCCAATAGGGACCTTCATGGAACTTGATATTAGAATTTTTAAATTTATATTGAGGAATAAAGGGCCAAGACATTTCTGAAGAAGACCAGAGAGGACTTACCCTACTAGATACCAGGATTTTTATTTTGAAACTCTAATGGAACAGATTAGTGAGCCCAGAAACAGACCCATGGATATATGTACCTCTGATATATGACAAAGGTGGCATATCAGATCTTGTGGGAAGATGGAATGGCTCACCAAATGAATCCCTATGGAAAAAGATGCACTTAATCCCTCCCTCACGTTATAAAGAAAATCAAATAATGGCCTTACAGTAATATTGTTTGACTTATTGTAAACAATGACTTAATAAGTTGAAAAGGATAAATATCTTTTAGACCCTAAGGAAATATTAAGACACAAGCATTCATATATTTGACCATATTAAAATACTTTTGTTCATTGAGAACTTTTACTCACTAAAAGGCAATTTAAAGAAAGTGAAAAGACGATGCATAAACAAACTTGGAGAAGGTAATCATAATATCTACCTACACTTGACAGAGGATTATTATCAAGAATACAGAGTATTTTATCATAGTTAAAAATAAAAATTTTTAAAAGATCACATAAAGAACTTTTTTTTGAGATGGAGTCTCACTCTGTCGCCCAGCCTGGAGTACAGTGATGTGATCTCGACTCATTGCAACCTCCGCCTCCCGGGTTCAAGCGATTCTCCTGCCTCAGCCTCCTGAGGAGCTGGGATTACAGGTGTGCGCCACCACGCCCGACTAATTTTTGTATTTTTAGTAGAGATGGAGTTTTGCCATGTTGGCCAGGCTGGTCTCAAATTCCTGACCTCAGGTGATCTGCCTGCCTCTGCCTCCCAAAGTGCTGGGATTACAGGCAAAAGCCACCATGCCCAGCCCACATAAAGAACTTCTAATCAACAATTAATGTAAAAATAATGGGAAAATGTGCAAGAGTCATGAACAAGAATTTTGCAGAAAAAACATATATGGCCAGTCATCACATAAAAAACATGTATGTTGAAGAAGCTGTAGAGCTACAATATCTCTGATACATTGCTGCTGGCAAAAGTTGTAAATTGGTACAACACTCGGGAAAACAGTTTGGCTTTCCACCAGGCGTGGTGGCTCACGCCTGTAATCCCAGCACTTTGGGAGGCCAAGGCCGGTGGAACACCTGAGGTCAGGAGTTCGAGACCAGCCTGGCCAACCTGGTGAAACCCTGTCTCTACTAAAAATATAAAAATTAGCCAGGCGTGGTGGCACACACCTGTAATCCCAGCTACTCGGAAAGCTGAGGCAGGAAAAGTGCTTGAACCTGGGAAGTGGAGGTTGCAGTGTCCGAGATGGTGCCACTGCACTCCAGCCTGGACGACGAGTGAAATTCTGTCCCCCCACAAAAAAAGATGAACAATCACATAGTCATAACCCAGTAATTCTACTTGTAAAAATATACTCGAGAAATTCTTGCAAATGTACAACAGGACTTATGCATGAGACTATTCCAATAACAAAAACTTGGAAACAACACAAATTTATTGAATGAATAACTGTGGTACATTCGCATGAAGGAATATATACAGTAGCTAAAACTAAACCCCAGTAACATGAAGCAACGTAGGTAAATCTTAGCAATATAAGAAAAAAAAAAAAAACGAAAAAAAAAAAACCAAAAAAAAAAAACAGAGGGTCCCACGGCAGTACTGGTGGCCATGGTTCCCGTAGCCAGAAGGAGTCGCTCACAGAGCCCCACACACAGCATATGTAGGGAATCTACCTTTTAATATGGTTCAGGGCGACATAGATGCTATCTTTAAGGATCTCAGCATAAGGAGTGTACGGGTAGTCAGAGACAAAGACACAGATAAATTTAAAGGATTCTGCTATATAGAATTCGATGAAGTGGATTCCCTTAAGGAAGCTTGACATACGATGGTGCACTGTTGGGCAATCAGTCACTTCATGTGGACATTGCAGAAGGCAGAAAACAAGATAAAGGTGGCTTTGGATTCAGAAAAGGTGTACCAGATGACGAAGCTTCAGGGATGACTTCTTAGGAGGCAGGGGAGGTAGTCACCCAGGTGACTGGGAAACAGGCCCCCAACTGGGCAGCCACTTCAGAGATGGTCCTCCCTTCCACGATCCAACATGGATTTCAAAGAACCGACAGAGGAGGGAAGAGCACAAAGACCACGACTCCAGCTTAAACCTCGAATGTTGTGACGCCCCTCAATGAAGTAGCCGATCCCAACTCTGCTATCTTCAGGGGTGCCAGACCCAGAGTGGAATTCGTTCACAAGGAGCAAGAATGAGCCTGCGGTTGGGAGGGAATGGAACATGGGGGGTTGGAGCAGGACCACAGCCTGGTGAACCCCTGGGCCATGTTCCTGCAGCTTCCACTCCCATACCTGCCACTGGCCTCCCCACAGTGGAAACACAGCTTGTTGTGAGTGCATGCCAGCTGTCAACAAGTGGTTTTTAGTACATTCTGGGCTTTGCTGTATCTATCTAGTGCCTGTTTGTGCGTTTTTTTCTTTCTACCACTGCTTCCCCATTTTCCTTCTGTCCTTTTCCTCCCAGCTCGTTTTCCTAGCAGCACATGGGGTTCCCCAGAGGATCGGAGGTGGCCATGTGGGGGAGTCGTTTGGGCTGCGGTACTGCATCATTTTTCTCCTTTGCTTTCTCTTTTTACTTTAGACATTGGCCCGACTCCAGGTGTTTCCTTTCACTTCCTCAGTGTTTCTCTTCTGACCTGCATGTTGAGTTCTGTATTGCGTTGGCTTCCAACAAAAACCAGAAGTCACTGACAGACTGAACTGCACCTTGTTGGTATTCAGCTGTGATGGACATAGAGAATTGGAGGCACCTTGTTTTCACAACTAGGATAAAAATAGGTGTTGATTCTTGCAGGGTCCTTTCCATTCCTATTGAGAGGGAGCCCTGGCTCCATGACCCCCTCCCAAAGTGGACTGTCCAAAGGGATAGGCTCACACGAGAAACAGCGAGAGCTGAAAGTGGAGACCGTGGAATAGCAGTAGGGAGTCCACGGAGAAAACACAGTGAATGTTCGTAGGCATTCACGTGTTTTTGTTACTGCTTTTTCGAGGCTGTGTCCCAATGAGTTCACTCCTTTCACCAGACATGGTCGAGGTTCCCCTCTCTGGCCAGCTGCAGTGAATGGCCAGCGGGTTTCTTTTCTCCTGGGCCAAGGCACTTTGAGGGTTGGGGGATAGCGCCGGCACTGCGCTTGGCTGACTGCAGCGCTGACACGGTGTTTCCCCAAATCCCTGTTGCCTGTGTGTTTGTGTTTATCTGTTCCTAGTACAGGCAACATAATGAGATACTGTGCTTCCCACCTCCCCTTCAATTCATAGCCAAAATGGGTCTAGAATCTGGCACTTTACTCATTTCCCTTGATAAATGAAATTGTACTGTGCAGAGCTGTCAGGACCTTCAGATGATCGTATAGGACTGTAGCTGTCTAGGTCTGAGGCTGCATCTTGGGGACACACTTGGTTGTTCCCATGTGCAGGGTTCAGCACTTACCTGGGAGTGGTAGTGGTTAGGCTTTTGAGCTTGAACGCCCGCGTGTGAACAGATGAAAAATCCTTCAGTACCCAAATCCCAGTCTTCCCTTTGGGGAGCAGTTGGGGGGTGGCTGGCAGCAAGGGCCTAGGAAAGAGACCCTTGCAGGGTGATGGCAGGGCAGCCTGGGGCGCCCAGTGTAGTGTGCTTAGTAATTGGTCACCAGCTGTCATCCTTGGCTTCTCCTACTGTATCTTTGTTACAAGCCCTCCGCAATCCACAGAACTCTCTCTCCTTCCTTCCACCTGTCAGCTTCTCTGCTTCTGAGATAAGAACCATTTCTGTAACACCAATACTTAAGAAAGACATGCATTATGTGGTGTAATCAAACCTGATGCTTTCAGATCATCTACTTACATCTTCAACATGGATAAGATAAACAAAACAAATGCATCTAAACTTCTGGGCAATCCAGTTGATTTTTAAATGTAAGAATGGAATTCCAAACACAACACATTCAGCTATATGACAGAAAGTAAATCTATGGATATGGTATTTTTTGAAGGATCTTTTCAACAAAAGAAATGCTTACATAATTAAAATATATATATATATATACACACATTAGGAAAGATGGACTAACTACAACCCAAGTAGAGAAAGTATGAACAAGGCCTGCTGGACAGTTATACAACCTTGCACTCAACAACTGTTCTCTTCAATCACATGGAACGTGTGCAAAAACTGCCCATATACTGGGCCATAAAGCAAATTTCAAAGGACTGAAATTATGCCAAGTATATTGTCTGACTCCAAGGCAATTATACTAGAAAAAAATGACTAGAAAAATCCCCATATGGGCTGGGCACAGTAGCTGATGCCTGTAATCCCAACACTCTGGAAGGCCAAGATAGGCAGACCAATTGAGGTCAGGGGTTCAATACCAGCCTGGCCAACATGACAAAACCCCATCTCTACTAAAAATACAATAAAATTAGCTGGGTGTGGGGGCATGCCCTGAAATCCCAGCTACTCAGGAGGCTAAGGCAGGAGAGTTGCTTGAACCCAGGAGGCGGAGGTTGCAGTGAGCGAAGCATCAGGCCACTTCACTCCAGCCTGGGCCACAGAGCGAGACCCGTCTTTTTTTTTTTTTTTTTTTTTTTTTTTTTTAGACGGAGCCTCGAACTGTCGCCCAGGCTGGAGTGCAATGGTGTGATCTCGGCTCACCACAACCTCGGCCTCCTGGGGTTCAAGCAATTCTCCCACCTCAGCCTCCTGAGTAGATTACCTGGGATTACAGGTGCCTGCCACCATGCCCAGCTAATTTTTAGTAGAAACGGGCTTTCACTATGTTGGCCAGGCTGGTCTCGAACTCCTGACCTCGTGATCCACCGGCCTCAGCCTCCCAAAGCGCTGGGATTACAGGCGTGAGCCACCGTGCCCAGCGGAGACCCTGTCTTAAAAAAGCCAGGCACTCCAGCCTGGGCAACAAGAGTGAAACTGTCTCAAAAAAGAAGAAGAAAAAAAAACATAATAGAAAAGAAGAAAAGCCAAGAAATATTAAGCTAGGCAATTCCCAGATAAGTCTAATGTGGCAAAACAGCGGCAGGTTGGCCATGTGAGCATGGGAGGTGTGGGGAGCAGAAGGCAGCTGTTTGCAGCCACTGGGTTCCGCCGGGTGGGCTCACTGGGGTGGGCCCAAGGCCAGAGGGAGTCCTGGACGCGGGGAGCTGGAGGGTGAGGCGACCCGGGAGGAGACACCGCCAGGCAGGGGAGGGCGGCCGGGTAGGTGTGGTCCGGCTCACACCGCAGCCACCGCCACCGCCACCACCACCGCCACAGGGAGAACGCGGAGAACATGTACTACTTCTCAGAGCTGGCCCTGACCCTCAACGAGCACGAGGAGGGCGTAGCGCCAACCGACAGCCGCCTGCGGCCCGACCAGCGGCTGATGGAGAAGGGCCGTTGGGACGAGGCCAATACCGAGAAGCAGCGGCTGGAGGAGAAGCAGCGCCTGTCGCGGCGCCGGCGGCTGGAGGCCTGCGGGCCGGGCAGCAGCTGCAGCTCGGAGGAAGGTGAGGCCGGGCGGGAAGGGCGCCCCGGAGGGGAGGAAAGGGGTGCCCGGGTGGGGGTGCCGCAGGGACGGATTCCGGGGGAGCAGGCCACAAGCCCACCCACCAGCCCACTGTGCCTGCCCAGCAGAGAAGGAGGCGGATGCCTACACGCCACTGTGGTTTGAGAAGAGGCTGGATCCGCTGACCGGGGAGATGGCCTGTGTGTACAAGGGCGGCTACTGGGAGGCCAAGGAGAAGCAAGACTGGCATATGTGCCCCAACATCTTCTGAGCGCCACCCTTGCAACAAATACAGGCGCCTGCACAGCCTGGCCCACCTGTTCATTAATGCACTCAATTTAGTACTGAATGGTCTTTCTCCCAGCCCATTCCCAGCCCTTCCTATTTCCTTTCCTATTTTTTTTTTCTCCCCACACTTTCTTGGGACTCCCACCTTGGAAGGAGGAAGGGCTGACCTGGGTTCTCTCCAGCCCCCAGGTGCGCCGGGTCACCCGTGCCCCTTCATTATGGACCTGGGCCCTACCGGAACCCCTGCCCCAGTTACCACAACTCAGGCCGGCTGGCCCGGGCCATGGGCTGCGCAAATCACCAGCCCCCAACCCAGGGAGGAACTGGCCCCTCCTAGGGAGCCTCTTCGACTTTTTTAGAAAAATGATCTCCATTTCTTTCCAGCCATGATGTTTAGTAAATATTTTTAGTACCGCACTTAGCAGACAGCTTTCCAAGTGTGCTTTCTTGCCACAAAAGTGTCCTGGCAAGAGCCCCTTATTTTTAAGACATCAGGAAGCCAGACCGCTTTGAGTTGGGAGAATTTTGTAGCTCAACATATCAAGTCCTCGATGGTATCTGAGCTGCCCACACCCCCACCTGCCAAGGCCCCACAGAGCCCAAAACAGAAGGGGGCTGCCCCAGCCCAGCAGAGCACAGAGTTTCTGGAGCTCCCATCCACAGATGCAGGAGGGGGTACTGATGGTAACCCCCATGTGGATTTGAGGGCAGCAGTCCCTGGCCTCACCCTAGCCAGCCTGGGTGGCTCCCTAGCCCCAAGAGGCCAGGAAGGGCTGGAAGGCAGGGCCTGCAGGTGCTCCCCGCCCTGAGACCCAGGCCCCAAATCAGCAATAATGAACAAACCCTTGGCCCAGCCTGGGCTGGTGACCTGGGCACCAGAGACCTTGCATCCCTCCTCATCCTAGGAGGCCCCTAGGGGTGCCCCATCTCAGTGTCCCCTGAACTCTTTATTTGCCTAATTTATATATATATATATGAGATATATAAATATATATAAAATAGCTATTTTGCTTAAATTTCTACAGTATGTAAAAGTGAAAAAATGATGAAGACGGGTGCACCTGTCTGAGTTTGGCCCTCATGTGAGCTGTGCCCTTCCCTCTCCTCATGCCCCCTTCCAGCGGCTTCTGCCAACCATGGGGGGCTGGACCACCATGGCCACTGACCCAGCCCCTCAGAATCCCACACTCCAATCCTTTCCATTTCAGTTTAGTCCTAAAAGTTCATCACAGGGTCTTTCTTTCTACTCCAGGACTGGTTTTGTTTTTATATATATAAAAAAAAAAAGTGAAAACACCAATGTGTGAAATGCCTTACAATGCCCACTGGAGAGGCGGGGCGGGGTGGGGCAGGATGGCCCCACTGGGGCTCCTACAGAGCTGTGGAATGTACCTCTCCCCAACACTGTTTTGTTAGCGAGCACCTTTTGACCAGTAATAAAAAACCTTGGCTTTGGAGTTTTCCACTGCCCTGTCCCTCAGTCTCTGTGTATCTGGGTGGAGGGGACTAATGTAGAAGGACAGGTGATAGCCTACAAGGTGGCATGGGGGTAGAGCATGGGGTGAAACAGCAGGGGGGTCAGGGGAACAGAGGAGGTAGGAGACCCAGGAAACTGCCCAAAGGGCTGGGGAGAGGGTCGCAGCTCTGCCAAAGGCTGCCCTGATGCTGCGGCCACAGGGCTGGCCTGGACCTAGCTCTGCTCTTTGGAAGGGCAGTGCTTTAGCCAGGTGGAGACCACCAGCAGCCCCCTCCCGTGTTTCAGTTCCTGGAGCTGTCTAGTGGGAGGCCTCCAGGGGGAAGGCCAGTCCTGGTGAGTTCCATATCACTTGACAGCAGCAGCCTGGGCTGCACTTCCAGGTGAGGGATGGGTAGAGCAGGGCACCCCAGGGGCATCAGGGCCAGCGCTCTCACCATCTGCCTCCAACCCCAGCCCTGTGGGATCTGGGGCTGGCCCTGCACAGCTCCTTCCCTGGCTAGGCTTCCCCATCTGTGGGGAGGTGGCCGCTGGCGGGGGGTCCCGGCTGAGGAGCTGGTGGGGCAGGTCTCACTGGAATAGAGGTGAGGCGGAACTTCAGGATGCACCTGACCCAGAGGGCAAGGGAGGGGACAAAGGCCAGTCTACTGAGGCAAAGAGAGGGCTCTGAAGAGCTTGAACAGAAATTGACATCAGGGCAATGTTTTAGAAAGACCACTCTGACCAGCAGGACACAAGATCAACCTACACTCAGTGGTCTCACATACACCAGCCATCACTGAATAGAAAATGTAATAGAAAAAAAGATCTACGACATAGGCCATCTGACAAAAAGACACAAAACCACAAGGTGAAAGACCTTTATGGACATGACAGAGAGGACCTGAGTTAAGAGGGAAAATACATCTTCATAGCTAGGTTCACATTCAGTTATGTTAGTCCCAAACCTACAAATTCAACATGATCCCTATTAAAATCCTACCAATATAGTTCAAAAGCTTGACAAGTTGATTGTGACATTTATATGAGAGAATAATTAAAAAAAAAAAAAATAGGGCCAGGTGCAGTGGCTCACGCCTGTTATCCCAGCACTTTAGGAGGCCAAGGCGGACAGATCACTTGAGGCCAGGAGTTTGAGACCAGCCTGGCCAACATGGCAAAACCCCGTCTCTACTAAGAATACAAAAATTAGCAGGGTATGGTGGCGCACACCTGTAATCCCAGCTAGTTGGGAGGCTGAGGCAGAGAATCGCTTGAACCTGGGAGGCGGAGGCTGCAGTGAGTGGAGATCGCACCACTGCACTCCAGCAAGAACTCAGGGGACGATGAGGGGACTATGTGGACTTGACCTGCAGATGCCCAAACAAGCTGGAAGCCTCCTGGGGACACAAAGCTTCCTTTTTCTCCACTGCTCTCTGATCACCATCTGGCTGCCATGCAGTGTATTTGTTGATGGTCTGCCCTCCCTACCCCAATGGACTGAGCTTCATGAGACTGTGAGCTTCATGATCTTATACGTTGTAGCATCCCACTGCCTGGCACATAGTCAGTGCTCAATGAATAGCTGTCGAAAGAATCAACACCAGGCCAGGAAGACCAGCTAAAGCAAACGCTCAGTGGGACAACACCTGAGCAGTGGGGGGCGTGACTGCAGTACCAAGTTGGGAGGAGACTCAGAAATGGAACTGGTGAAGAGCTGAGCCCAGGGACCCAGGAAACTCCTGCCTCCCCCAAACTCTAGAGTTCAAATTGCTGCTCCTGACAGACTGTGGGGTAGGAGTCAGATTCTGTAAGTGGGGAAGAGAAGGCCTGAGGTTCTCTCATCTCCAGGGACATGGCTCAGCATGAAGGGAGTTGGGAGGAGAGGACAACGGAGAGACACATTTCAAAGTGGAACAGAGAACAGGACAAGAGACAAACTCAATGCTATTTAAGTTATTGTTTTTATGAAGCTAGCCAGCATGCATAACTTCAGCAACAAAGCCTAATAAAGACAGTGTGAAAATAAAGGGAATATATAGTTCGGTCTCATGGAAGAAAAGAATTTTCATAAATCCAAACAAGAGAACAGCAAATAGAATCTAGCCACATAGAAAAGACTGAACCCCAAGTTGGTAAGCCCATGCCCAAATTAGGTTTACTGCAGAAATGCAAGAATGAAAATGGCTCAATGTTGTGAAGCTTTCCATGGTAAATCATTCATTACATCAGCCAGTCGAAGGATTTCTTCTTCTGGCAATATGGTAAACTAGGTTCCCAGAAAATACTCCTTTGTGGAAAACTAGACAGGTTGGATAAAATTTTTTAAATGTTAAATGCATCTATCAACTGGAAACAATATGAGGAATACTCAAGCCAAAAACTAAGTGGGTATGAAAACCTGGAGAGGTAAGAAAAGGTCTGAAATATTTTATGTTGCAATTATTTACAAAGCCCAATGAGCTTAACTGTAAGTTTTCACTGCCTCAAAAGAGCCTCCAAAGGTAGGGCATATAATAGGAAATTTGGGGCCCCCAAGGGCTATACCTTCAATGTAATGGTGAATCCAAAATAAAATACAAGAAAAATCACTTGTCTTAAAGGTTGGTCCTGAGCAGAGAAAAACAAAATCCCCCTAAGAATTTGTAATCAGGAGTGGACCCTCAGTTAGTTTTGCAGCCCAAATACACACTACCTGAATGGCTCAATGAAACCTCTGACAGAGAACGTAACATGGTCCGAAGTTGGCAATGTTCCCAGTCACCTGGGGGAAGCAAACAAGTCCTCTCTGGAAGATATCCCCTTCATTCTAGGCCTTAGAGAACCTCAGATATGAAACTGCAGGGAAAATGAGCAGCTCACAGTATAAAATCTCCAAACACACAAGGAAACAAGCACCCATGAGCAAGGGCAACCAGAAATAACAGATAGCAGAATCAGACAGAAAACTCTTCCACACAGCAAAATTATCAGATACAGAAGAGAAAATAAGCATGTTTAATATATTTCTAGAAACAGAAAGGCAGCTTGAAAATAAGTGAAGAGTAAATATTCAAAAATACTAAACAAATTTCAAGAAAATGTTTTAAAATCACTAAAAATAATTCAGTGAATAGTTTTACAACAGATTACACAGCTGAAGAGAGTATTAGTGAAGCAGAAGTGAGATCTGAAGAAATTTGGAATACAACACAGAGACACAAAGAGGTGAAAAATATCAAAGGGACGTTAAGACATGAAAGATAAGATCCCACATATGTCTGATCTATTTCAGAAGGAGAAAAGAATTTTTTATGGAACAGAAGCAATCTTGGAAGAGTTATGGCTAAAAGTTTTTCAAGAAATCATGAAAAGCACCAATATACAAAGTTAAGCTCAACAAATCCTAATTATGGTAAATAAAAAGATATCCACAGCTAAATACAACATAGTGAAACTGCAAGATTACTAAGACAACAAAATCTTACAAGCAGATTTTTTTAAATTACCTTCAAACAGCATAAATTAGGCTGGGTACAGTGGCTCACACCTGTCATACCAGCACTTTGGGAGGCTGAGGCAGAAGGATCACTTGAGACCAGCAGTTGGAGACCATCATGGGAAAACAGAAGAGACCCCATCTCTACAAAAAAATAAAAATAAAAACTAAATTAGGCAAAGTGGTATGTGTCTGTAGTCCTAGCTTCCCAGGAGACTGAGGCTGGAGGATTGCTTGAGCCCAAGAATTTGAGGCTGCAGTGAGCTATGATCACATCACTGCACTCCAGCCCAAGCAACAGAGTGAGATCCTGAAAATTCATCTCCAAAGGAAGGCCAATTAGACCGAGAACAGATTAGACTGAGAGCCTCCAAAGGAAGTCAGAAGACAATGAAGTATTACCTCCAAAATAGAGAAGAAAATGTTAGTGTTCTCCTCAGTCAAAATATCTTTTCCACAGGTCACGTGTGGTGGTTTATGCCTATAATCCCAACACTTGGGGAGGCCAAGGTGGAATGATCACTTGAGGTCAGGAATTTGAGAACAGCCTGGGCAATATAGCAAGACTCCATCTCTACAAAAATAAAATAATTAACCAGGCATGGTGGCATATGCCTGTAGTCCCAGCTACTTGGGAGGCTGAGGAGGGAGGATAACTTGAGCCTAGAAGTTCGAGACTGCAGTGAGCTACACAATCATCCTGTCTCTGTCTGTCTCTGTCTCTATCTCTCTCTCTATATATATGTGTGTGTGTGTGTGTGTGTGTGTGTGTGTGTGTATGTGTGTATAACTAAATTTTATTTAGCATATTAAACAGTATATTAAATTTTTTTAAAAAAAATATATAGTGTCATGTGGAGTGAGACTATGATGAGTTAAGATTATGTAAAACTTATCAGGTAATCATTGAAGGAATAGCAATACTAAATTATTTCCAAAGCAGTAGAAGAAACACATTGAATGCAGGGGGGAAAAAGCTCAGTAAATCTAAAGAAGGCAAGAGAGGAGAGGAAAAAAGAATGTAGAATAAAAATCACAAATAAGAGAATACAAATACATCAATAATACATCAGTAATTACATAAAATTTAAGTAATCTAAATGCTTCAAAGAAAAAAATATGGACTAAAAATAAAATCCAGCTATATGCTATTTACAAGAATACACCTAAAACATAAATATATAAACTAAACAGACTCTAGGGCAAAAAATATTACTAGATGTCAACTACTAGAATTTTAAGGTCATTTTGTAGTGATAGAAGGTAAAACTCATAAATTTCTAAAACTCTTATGCACCTAATAACATCTCAAAATGTATAAAGTAAAATGGATAAAGATAAATCCACTATCATAATGGAAGATTGTAATTTATTTCTCCCAGTAATTAGAGCTCAGACAACAAATTATGTTAATTACTATGTAATTAACAAACTTGATGTCATGGACACATATAGGGAATTAAATGTGACTGCAGAATACATATTTTTGAAATGCACATGGAACTTTTATGAACATTAACCATATATTTAATCCAGTCATAAGGCCTCAGCAAATTTCAAAGGACCACATTCTCAGACTGCAATGAAGACAGTTCAAAATCAATGACAAAAATAAAACTGGGAGGAAAATACAGGCTAGAACATTAAGAAATATATTTTGAAATAACTCATAGGTCAATGAAGAAAACAACAGAAATCAGAAAATACAGTTAAAAAAAACTATATATTAAAACATACAGAATACAGGTAAAGCAGTACCTTGAGGAAAATTTACAACATTTAAGACTCATGTAAAAGACTAAAAAATTTTTAAACATCCAATTTGAGTAAGAAAATGAACATTAGAAAAAACTCAAGAAAAGGACAAGAATGGGCCGGGCGAGGTGGCTCACGCCTGTAATCCCAGCACTTTGGGAGGCCGAGGTGGGCGGATCACGAGGTCAGGAGATCGAGACTATCCTGGCAAACACGGTGAAACCCCGTCTCTACTAAAAAATATACAAAAAATTAGCCGGGCGTGTTGGTGGGCACCTGTAGTCCCAGCTACTCGGGTGGCTGAGGCAGGAGAATGGCGTGAACCTGGGAGGCGGAGCTTGCAGTGAGCCGAGATCGCGACTCTGCACTCCAGCCTGGGCGACAGAGCAAGACTCTGTCTCAAAAAAAAAGAAAAACAGAAAAAAGAAAGAAAAGGACAAGAATGAAAATAAAGATCAAATATCAGATATTCATTAAATAGGGCAATAATAAAAAGAACGAAGAAAGCTGAGGTTGGGCCGGGTGCAGTGGCTCACGCCTGTAATCCCAGCACTTTGGGAGGCCGAGGCGGGTGGATCACGAGGTCAGGAGATCGAGACCATCCTGGCTAACACAGTGAAACCCCTCTCTACTAAAAATACAAAAACAAAATTAGCCGGGCATCGTGGCGGGCACCTGTAGTCCCAGCTACTCAGGAGGCTGAGGTGGGAGAATGGCATGCACCCAGGAGGCGGAGTTTGCAGTGAGCCGAGATTGCACCACTGCACTCCAGCCTGGGCAACAGAGCGAGACTCTGTCTCGAAAAAACAACAAAAAAAAGAAAATCGCTTGAACCTGGGAGGCAGAGGTTGCAGTGAACCAAGATTGTGCCACTGCACTCCAGCCTGGGCAACAAGAGTGAAACTCTACCTCAAAAAAAAAGAAAGGGGACATAAATACAGACACCAGAGACATTTTAAAGTAAGAATATATTATTAGAACTTGCCCTGTGGAGACACCTAAAAAATAAATAAGGAATATTATGAACAACTTGGACAATAAATTTGAAAACAGATAAAATGGATTAGTTCCTACAAAAATATAACTTCGCTGGACTCAGTGGCTCATGCCTGGGATCCCAACACTCTGGGAGGCCGAGTCAGGCTGATTGCTTTGAAGCCAGGTGTTTGAGACCAGGCTGGGCAACATAATAAAACCCCATCTCTACAAAAAATACGCACACACAAAAAATTAGCTAGGCATAGTGGTGCAAGCCTGTAGTCCCAGCCACTCAGGAGGCTGAGGTGGGAGGATGGCTTGAGCTCGGGAGGTGGAGGCTGCAGTGAGCCTAGAACATGCCACTGTACTCCAGCCTGAGCAACAGAGTGAGACCCTGTCTCAAAAAAAAAAAAAAAAAAAGACTTAAAATCATTTCTTTTTAAAAATCAGTTAAAAGTAGTCCTAACAGGCCGGGCGCAGTGGCTCATGCCTGTAATACCAGCACTTTGGGAGGCTGAGGCAGGCGGATCATGAGGTCAAGAGATCGAGACTATCCTAGCCAACATGGTGAAACCCCGCCTCTACTAAAAATGCAAAAATTAGCTGGGTGTGGTGGTGCACGCCTGTAGTCTCAACTACTCAGGAGGCTGAGGCAGGAGAATCACTTGAACCCGGGAGGCGGAGGGTGCAGTGAGCCGAGATCACTGTACTCCAGCCTGGTGACAGAGCGAGACTCTGTCTCAAAAATAGTCCTAATATATACACACAAAACTCTACACAGATGACCAAGGAATAATTCCAATCTTACAGAAACTTTCCAAGAGTAGAGGGAAAGAGAGAATACTCCCAAACTGATTTCTTCAAGCTAACATAACCTGCTCACAAAAACCTGACAAACAGTATGAGAATGGACAATTACAAACTAATGTCACTTGTAACGGTACAATTCAAAATAAAATATTAATAAATCTAACAATATAGAAAATCATTACTCCAAAAATGCAGGGTTAGTTTATGCTGAGAAAAACTAAACCATGTAATTCACCACATTAACAAATTAAAGGAGAATGCTACATAGTTATGCTAATATGAAGAAAACACTTTAGATAAAATTCAGCATGCATCCATGATATTTAAAAGGAAAAAAAGGCTGGTCACAGTGGCTCACGCCTGTAATCCTAGCACTTTGCGAGGCCCAGGTGGGTGGATCACCTGAGGTCAGGAGTCAAGACCAGCCTGGCCAACATGGTGAAACCCCATCTCTAGTAAAAATACAAAAATTAGCTGGGCATGGTGGTGGACACCTGTAATCCCAGCTCCTCAAGAGGCTGCAGCAGGAGAATCACTTGAACCTGGGAGGTTGAGGCTGCAGTGAGCCAAGATGGCACCACTGCACTCCAGCCTGGGCAACAGAGTGAGACTCTGTCTCAAAAAATATATAAATAAATAAATAAAATAAAAAGTTTAGCAATAGGAATAGAAGAAAATTTCCATAATCTGATATCTACACACATACACACACACACGCACTTTTCCTGCGAGACAGGGAACAAAAAGAGATGCCCACTTTCCCCCTTTATATTCAACATTGTACTCAGAGCCAATGCAATAAGGCAAGAAAAATATTTATATAAAGTATGAGAATTGGTAAAATTATCACTGTTCACTGATGATATGACCTAAAAAATCCAAAAGAATTGTGTAGATAACAGTCAGTTGATACATAAAAATCAATTACATTTTTATATACTAGCAACAAGCTGTCAGAGAATGTATCTTAAAGTTGTCATTCATCTATAACAGCATTACAAATCATCAGGTTCCAAAGATATATCTAACAAAAGACATATGAGACCTCTAAAGGGAAAACTGTAATACTTTTTTTGAGAGACACTAAAGAAAGATCTAGATTGAGAATTATACCATATTCATGGTTGGGAAGACTTATAAAGGTATCAATTCTTCTCAGTTGAGGATGGATACCATCAATTCCAATGGAACCCCTACAGGTTTTCTCATGGAGCTTGATGATTCTAAAATGTGCACGAAAATGCTAACACCTAACAGTAGTCAAGACACTACTGAAGTAGAAATGTAGCCGGGTGCGGTGGCTCGTGCCTGTAATTCCAGAACTTTGGGAGGCCAAGGCAGGTGGATAGCCTGAGGTCAGGAGTTCGAGACCAGTCTGGCCAACATGGTGAAACCCCATCTCTATTAAAAATACAAAAAAATTAGCCAGGTGTGGTGGTGCGCACCTGTAATCCCAGCTACTCAGGAGGCTGAGGCAGGGGAATCCCTTGAACCAGGGAAGTGGAGGTTGTAGTGAGCTGAGATCATGCCACTGCACTCCAGCCTGGGCGACAGAGCAAGACTCAGTCTCAAAAAAAAAAAAAGAAAAGTAGGAGGACTGCCTCAACTAGATATCAAAATAATGTAAAACCATAAATAAATTAGTATTGGCATAGAGAAAGAGACAATAGACAAATATAACTAAATTAAAAGTTCAGAAACAGATTAATACATAAATGAACATTTGATATATAACAGAGGTAGCACTGTAGATCAATAGTGAAAGAAAAGACTACTCAATGAAGGGTGGTGAGGCAACCAGGTATATGTATGGAAAGAAGGAGAGAAGAGGAAGGGAGGGAATGAAGAAGGAAAGGAGGCAGGAAGGAGGAAAACTGGAGCTCTACCTCATACCATACATGAAACTCAATTCCAGGCAGATTAAAGATCTAGGCCAAGCAAGGTGGCTCATAGCTATAATCCCAGCACTTTGGAAGACTAAGATGGGCAGATCACTTTAGGCCAGGAGTTCGAGACCAGCCTGGCCAATATGGCAAAACCCTATCTCTATTAAAAATACAAAAAATTAGCTGGGTGTGGTGGCACATGCCTGTAATCCCAGCTACTCGGGCCAATATGGCAAAACCCTATCTCTATTAAAAATACAAAAAATTAGCTGGGTGTGGTGGCACATGCCTGTAATCCCAGCTACTCGGGAGGCTGAGGCAGGAGAATCACTTGAACCCAGGAGGCAGAGGTTGCAGTGAGCCAAGATCATGCCACTGCACTCCAGCCTGGGCAACAGAATGAGACTCTGTCTCAAAAAATAATAACAATAATAATTTTTTTAAAAAAATCTACATAGATGGTCCTCAACTGACAATACGGTTATGTTCCAATAAACCCATCATAAGTCAAAAATATCATAAGTTAAAAATGCATTTAATACTCCTACAGGACATCATAGCTTAGCCTAGCCTACCTTAGATGAGCTCAGAACACTTACCTTAGCCTACAGTTGAGCAAAATCATCTAACGCATAGCCTGTTTTTATAATAGAGTGTTGAATATCTCACATCATTTATTGAACACTGTACACTATAGAGTATCAAACGTTTACCCTTGTGGCTGACAGCTGCAGCTCACCGCCACTGCCTGGCATCACAATATCTTATAGAATATTGCTAGCCTGGAGAAAGATGAAAATTCAAAATTCAAAGTGCAGCTTCTACTGAATGGGTATTGCTTTCACAACATCATAAAGTCAAAACAATCCTAAGTCAAACCATCATTAAGGTAGGGACCATCCGTATGTGAAAGACAAAACTATAAAGACTTTAGAAGATAATACAAAATATCTTCATGACCTCAGGGTAGAGAAGTATTTCTTACTTTTGTTTTGTTTTTTTGAGATGGAGTTTTGCTCCTGTCTCCCAGGCTGGAGTGCAATGGTGCAATCTTGGCTCACTGCAACTTCTGCCTCCCGGGTTCAAGCAATTCTTCTGCCTCAGCCTCCTGAGTAGCTGGATTACAGGCACTCACCATCACACCCCAGCTAATTTTTGTATTTTTAGTAGGGTTGGGGTTTCACCATGTTGGCCAGGCTGGTCTCAAACTCTTGACCTCAGGTGATCTGCCCGCCTCGGCCTCCCAAATTGCTGGGATTACAGGCGTGGGCCATTGCACCCGGCCAAGAAGTATTTCTTAAACAAGTTACAATAAAACTATAAATAAAGGACTGATAAATTATTATTCTACATTTTTAATTAAGGATTCCTAGTCCTCAAGACTCTGTAAAAAGAGAATAAAAAAGAAGGCATACCAAAGAATAGGAGAAAAAATCTGCAACACAGATAACTTATAAAGAACATGTCTCCAGAATATACAAAATTCAAATAAGAAAAAGATAAAATAGAAAAATGGGCCCAAATCTTGAGCAAACACTTCATCACAGAAAGCTAAATGGTCAATAAGGCCAGGCACAATGGCTCATGCCTGTAATCCCAGCACTTTGGGAGGCTGAGGCAAGCGGATCGCTTGTGTCCAGGAATTCAAGACCAGCCAGGGTGACATAGCGAAACCCTGTCTCTACGAAAAATACAAAAATTAGCCAGGCATTGTGGCACATGCCTGTAGTCCTAACTACTTGGGAGGCTGAGGCAGGAGGACTCCTTGAGCCCAGGAGGTGGAGGTTGCAGCGTGCTGCGATTGTGCCACTGCACTCCAGCCTGGGCGACAGAGCAAGACCCTGTCTCAAAAATAAATAAAAATAAATAAAATAAATGGTCAATAAATATAAGAAAAGGTGCTCAACCACATTTTGGAAATCAGAAAAATGTAAATTAAACCACACTTAGATACCACTATGCCCTCATCAGACTGGCAAAACATTTCAAGTCTAGCAATATCAAGCACAGGCAACAAAGTAGACAAAGCACTTATCCAGTGCCAATGAGTGTGAAAATTAACACAACCGGTTCTGGCATTACCTAGTAAAGTGGAAATGGGCATGAACTATGACTCTGCAATTCTACTCCAAGGTTTATATCCTAGGGCAGGGGTCCCCAACCCTCAGGCCACGGACTGGTACCAGTCCATGGCCTGTTAGGAACCAGACCCACAGCAGGTGAGCTGCAGGCAAGCAGGCAAAGCTTCATCTGTATTTACAGCCGCTACCCATTACCCATTACCACCTGAGCTCTGCCTCCAGTCAGATCAGCGGCGGCATTAGATTCTCATAGGAGCAAGAACCCTATGTAAACTGCGCATGCAAGGGATCTAGGTTGCATGTTCCTGATGAGAATCGAATGCCTGATGATCTGTCACTGTCTCCCATCACCCACAGATGAGACCATCTAGCTCCAGGAAAACAAGCTCAGGCTCCCACTGATTCTACATTATGGTGAGTTGTATAATTATTTCATTATATATTACAATGTAATAATAACAGAAATAAAGTGCACAATAAATGTAATGCGTTTGAATCATCCCAAAAACCATCCCCCACCCCAGTTCATGGAGAAACTGTCTTCCATGAAACCAGTCCCTGGTACCAAAAATGTTGGGGACAGCTGTCCCAGGGAGAAAGTCCTGCACACATGCAACAGGAGACATAAACAATGCACAGTTGCCAGTCTCAGAGGAATGCATTTAAAATTGTATTATGTTCAATTGCAGGTGTAATTCATTCATTTTCATTACTGTCTAGTATTCGGCAGTGATGTAGCAACCCAAATAACAAAGAGGCTCTCTAAAAGAAAAGACATATATACATAAATTTGCAATGCTTTGTTCCTAAATAAGTATATTTTCTTTTGAGAACCTCTCTTTATTGTTATTTAGGTTAACATCCAGAATACTATACAGTAGTGAAAATGAATAAATTACAGTTACATCCAACAACATGGATGATTTTCTGGAACACAATGTTGAAAATAAAAAAAAAGAAAACCGCAAAACAATAAAACGTTATGTCCATCTAAGTTCAAAAACAAAGCAAAATAAAACACTTAGGGCAAAATAAAACAGGAATACACAGAGCTCATAAAAATATAATGAAGAGTAAAGAAACATAATTATAAAATGAAATACTAAGAGTAATAAACACAATTCAGGATGATGGTGACCTCTGAGCAGGGAGACAAGGGGTCCAGGAAAGACACACAGGGATTTATAATATAACAAGCCAGGTGATGGGTGTTTGATGTATACTTTTTCTGCTTTATAATTTTTTTTTTTTTAAAGACAGTTTCTCACTCTGTCACCCAGGCTAGAGTACAGTGGCACGATCATAGCTCATTGCAGCCTCCACCTCCCGGGCTCAAGCGATTCTCCCACCTCGGCCTCAGCACAAACCCAGCTAATTTTTGTATTTAATGTGGAGATGGCGTCTTGCTATGTTGCCCAGGCTGGTCTCCAACTCCTGGGCTCAAGCAATCTGCCCACCTTGGCCTCCCAAAGTGTTGGAATTACAGGCGTGAGCCACCGCTTCAGGCCTCCTTTACAAATATTTTATACAGCATTCTTTCATAGCTACTCAATGTCTAATTGAAAATAAAAACAGCAGCATAAAGGAGAAAACTCTATGTTTTTTTTTTTTTTATAGAAGGTGTAAAGGCATTTGACAAAATTCAGCCAGTTTCCAGGGGGCACAGCCCACGTTTCATTCTGTGTGACTGCTGCCCCCTGGCGCCCAACTCAGGCAGGACTGGCAACTACCGGTGAGTCCCAGCAGCCGCAAGACAAACTAAAGGAAACCCCAACATTTTAAAAGCCACTTGCCGAAACTCTCACCGCTCAACTCTCACATGCGGATTTCCACGCATATCAGAAACAGCCCGGGATCATTATTCAACATTGTTTCAGAGGTTCTAACTAAAGCAAACTGACAAAATAAATTGGTATACTGGCAAATTTGTATCTATAAAAAACAGGCTTATTAAAACTACCAGAATTCCTAAGACAGAAAGTGAATTATATTAAATCATTAGCTTTTCTACATATTAATAATCAATGAGTAATACAGATGGAAAAAAGTATTCCATCACAATAGACAAAAACCATAAAACACTTAGGAATAATTTTAACCAGAAAGTTATAGAACCCGTATAAAGAATTTATAAAATCTTATTGGAGGACCTAAAAGAAGTCTTGAGTAAATGGAAAGCCATTTTTTATCCTCTGGGGGAGGATTAATATCACAAAAATGTCAATGCTCCCAAAACTTCCATTTAAATTTAATGCAATTATAATTTAAATCCCAATGGAACACTTTCTTTTAGGCAGGGATGGGAACGAACTGGATAATGCGATTAAATATTTCATGTGAGAGAATACATTCTAAGACTGGAAAAGCATTTTTTAACAAGTGAGGGAGACTGATCTATTTAGATGCTGATGACGCCCAAAATTATAGTTTCAGCCAGAACCTCACCCCTCACATCAGACTCACTTGTGCAACTGACCACAGATGTCTCCACTGGCGTCTAAGCGGGATCTCAAACTCAACAGGTCCACACCTGTTGGCTCATTTAGTAAGAGGCTCATTTAATAAGTGGGGCTGGAATAAGTTAATTTCCACCTGGGGGCGGGAGACGCTTGACTCTTGCCTTACAGCTTATACTAAAATATATTCCATAAGGACTATAGGTTGTCTAGTAAAAAATAAATAATAAACATTGCAACAAAATGTAAGAGAATATCGGGGGAAGGGGAGAAGAGAGAAGGGGATTGATTTCCCTAAGCATGATAGGAATCCCCAAAACTTTAAAACATTTACCTTTCAACAAACACCATAAACCAAGCCAAGGACAAACGCATAGAAAACGGACTAATGTTAACTAAGTCCAAGAGGCTTCAGGCGCTTGGCCTCGGGTCAAAAGGGAGACATACAGGCTGGCTCTTCCGGGCAAGAGGAAAAACACGCAGCTTCCTTTCCAAGTGTTCTTCCTTTCAGAGATAAAAGCGCCGACCCTAAGGACATCTGTTCAACGAATGTTTTTCCCTAATGACCCCCGGAAAGTTGGAAAGCCGGGGTAGAAAAGATTTCTTCTGCACTTTGACTTAATTAATGCGCAGCAGCTTGCAGGAAAAAAAAAAAATCCTCGCTTCTCTGTTTCGGGTGTGAGTGGGCCATTGCTCTCCCTGTAAGGAGCTACTAGAGACGCTGAGGCAGGAGAATCGCTTGAACCCTGGAGGCGGAGGTTGCAGTGAGGCGAGATGGCGCCACTGCACTCCAGCCTGGGCGACAGAGCGAAACTGTCTCAAAAAAAAAAAAAAAAAAAAAGTAGGGGATTAGAGCTGGCCACGGCTTCCCCAGAAACCTGCAGTTACTGGAGTAGGAAGAGGCCTCGGAGAATCCCTGGAAGCATCTACCTAAAAGACGCGAGGAAACCCCCAAAGGCCACAGGCACCTGCACCAAACCCTGAGTGCCGCAGGAAGCTCGCGAGGCTTCCAAAGCGCATGCGCAGGTCACGGTACGGGCACGTGCGGCGCGCCAGCAAAACCACGCAGGCGTCTTGTCGCTTCCGCCTCGAGCGTGTGGCGGGATTGCGGAAGCCCTCCACAGTTCATAACCGTTGGCTGGTTATGAACCGTTCATAACGGGCGTTAATAACCATACCCTGTTAGACTAAGCATGGTCCACCCGCGAATCCTCTACAGAGATGGCCAAGCGCTGGGGTCGTGGCTGCGTCCTCTAGGCCAGGTGAGAATTTACAACCCACCCTCGGCCACTGTTGTGCTGTGGCCGCTGATGATTAAGCATGAGGAACTCAGAAACTCTGAACCTTCTGACAAACGGGTTCTCCCCTGCCCACCGCGGTGCCCCAAACCCAGCAGGACAGATTGGTTTACATGGTGGGGCATTGGGGAGGACCCAGAGCTTTCAATAAGGGAAGAAATGATGTGGGGAGGGACAGTAAATCAAAGTAGGGGATTAGGCCGGGCGCTGTGGCTCACGTCTGTAATCCCAGCCCTTTGGGAGGCTGAGGCAGATGGATCTCTCGAGACTGGGAGTTCTAGACCAGCCTGGCCAACATGGCGAAACCCCATCTCTACTAAAAATACGAAAATTAGCCGGGCGTGGTGGCGCGCGCCTGTAATTCCAGCTACTAGAGAGGCTGAGGCAGGAGAATCGCTTGAACCCTGGAGGCAGAGGTTGCAATGAGGCAAGATGGCGCCACTGCACTCCAGCCTGGGCTACAGAGCGAGACTGTCTCAAAAAAAAAAAAAAAAAAAAGTAGGGGATTAGAGCTGGCCACAGCTTCCCCAGTAACCTGCAGTTACTGGAGCAGGAAGGGGCCTCGGAGAATCCCTGGAAGCATCTCAACAGAATCCAGAGGGGACAAGAAAAGAGGAGGGATACGTCTGTCGCATCCTTCCCTTCTCATTGATCCAAGTTTGCACTAGTGGTGTGAGCCCTCCTTATCTTCCAGGCCTTGGTGGGCAGCTGTTGACATGTCCAGAACCCCAGGAAGTGCTGAAGGTACCTGCAGTTCAGGCCCCATGGAAGCCCAGACCTCCTTCACCCTTCGGGGACACTGAAATTGGCCAAATGTTTAGGCCATGAGGATGGCTGCTGAGTAAGCCCATAATCCCTACATCGGACACAAGTAAGCAGGTGAAGGCCTACAGGTAGCAGGTAGGGGCCAGTGAATCTTGGAAGCAAAGATTTGGGGGTCAAGAACAGCAGGGAGCTCTGGGCCCCCATCCTAGCTTCAACCAGAGCAGCTCCAGGACTCCTGGCTTTCCATATGGGCTTCTGGATAAATTTTAGGTACTCCTGAGGCTGAATAAGCTGGAAAGCCTCTGCCATCACCCAACTCCGTTATTTTAGAGGAGGAACAGGAGCCAAAATGGGCAGTGACTTGTCTGAGGCCTTGCCAGCTTGAAGAAGGAAATGTCCGCTGAACCCAACAGTGGCCCTGGTAAGGCCTGGTGCATTGCAAGTTACCGGATGAAAATGGTGACTGGCCGGGTGCAGTGGCTCATGCCTGTAATCCCAGCCAAGGCGGGCAAATCACTTGAGATCAGGAGTTTGAGACCAGCCTGGCCAACATGGTGAAACCCTGTCTTTACCAAAAAATACAAAAATTAGCTGGGCATGGTGGCACGCACCTGTAGTCCCAGCTACTTGGGAGGCTGAGAGGGGAGAATCGCTGGAACCCAGGAGGTGAAGGTTGCAATGAGCCGAGACTGTGCCACTGCACTCCAGCCTGGGTGACAGAGCAAGAGTCCGTCACAAAACAAACAAAAACAGAAACAACCCCAAATGTCCGTAAGTAGGAGACAATATATCCAACACATGAAATGCTCTGTGGTTCATGAGAATAAAGAAGACCCATATGGGTTATTCTGAAGCAGGTTCCACTACACTAAGCTGCACTAAGTAGTTTTAACAGGCAGAAATGGAACAGAGTGGAAGTGCGTGCACTTAGGAGGGATACTCTCCAGGGAGAATTCAGGGATTGGGTGGGAGAAGGGAGCCTTGCTTTTCATGGTCCAGCCTTTTAGACGGTTTTAATGTTTACCATGTGCATGTTTCACTTAAAAACCAAACACCCTAGGTGAGGCATGGTGGCTCACACTGTAATCCCAGCACTCTGGGAGGCCGAGGCAGGTGGATCACTTGAGCTCAGGAGTTTGAGACCATCCTAAGCAACATGACGAAACTCTACCAAAAATACAAAAAAAATTCGCCAGGCATGATGGTGTGTGCCTGTGGTTCCAGCTACCTGGGAGGCTAAGGTGGGAGATCACTTGAGCCTGGAAGGCAGATGTATCAGTGAGCCAAGATCGTGCCACTGCACTCCAGCCTAGGTGACCAGGGCGAGACCCCCATCTCAAACAAAACACCCTAGAGTCCCCACCCCTCTCGTTCTTTAAACACCAGCATTGCTGCCCTTCACTTTCTTGCAGCCTTGTGCAAAGGACCTTCTCACCACAGATCAGCCAGACCATCTTCCTCCTTCCAAGTCATCAAAGAGTTCCAAGCTGGTCACCTGTCCCTTGATGTTCCCAGGAAACCAGGAAAGAGGACCCCTGCATTTTATCTTCCCATCCAGAGTGGCAGGATCTCTGCCTGGGAAACAGGCTTCATTCAGCACAGCTGTGGTAGCATTAACAAAGCAAAGTGGGCACATGTAGAAGTTGAAGCTAAAACATTCAAGAACTCCAGTCTGTTTCTGTGGATGTTAAGGGGGTGAAGATAAAACAATGGAGGTGATGAGGAGGAATAACTTGAAGACAGTTTAAAGCCACAGTGATACAAAGAATGAAGAGAAGGAAGGTGCTGGATTTTACTAAGAAAACAGACTGAGTTCAGGAGTCTCACCAGTAGAACTTTATAGTATTGCGTTTCGATTACATGTGTGTGAATTTTAAAAACTGATTACCCTCCAGTAAAAATGTGGAACCAATTTGCATTTGGATTAAAACATTAGGTTTGGGGACAAAAGTGGACCCCATGCTGCCTGAGATGAAGAGAGAGAGCAGGATGGCAGAGGAATCACCAGCTCAAGAAACCCCAAGACTTGGACAGTCTTCCAGCAGAAGAGGCCAGGGTCTCTCAGTGTACTACTCCAAACAGGCCTCTCCTAGAGATGTAGTCTGGGAAGGTCCAAAACCCACCAGACAGGCACATCCAGTGGGGAAAAGACTTCCCATTCCAGTGTGGCCTGCATCCCTCACCTCTGCTTCCCAGTCTTCTGCTGACCTCAGAGGAGCAGGGTGGCCATTGCTGATCTGGGTTAGGGAGATGCCAGAAACACACCCAGGTTTGAACCACAGGTTAGTGGTACAAAGTCACAGTCCTTGTGCCTTCAGAAAACCCAGAGGCCCCAAATACGAGTGGGAAGAGAGTTGGGAAAAACTGAACCAGACTCTTCCAATGGCCATTAAAGAGAAAATTCAGCAACGCTTGCCTTTGTCTTTGACCCTGAGAAGTTAAGGGACACAGATTGTGGCGCCGTGATGGAACATGGAGGGAAGGCATGGTGTGCTTCCTGCAGAGATGCCTCTGGAGTCCCTGTGGCCACGGGATCTCACTGGCCCCCTCTTCAGGCACCTTGATGGGGCTCAGTGGGGCCAGGCCGAAGGGTGGAAGTAGAAAAGCATCAACAGGCTGTCCAGATCAATTGGCACCATCCAAGGCCCTGCTGCACCCACACATGGAGGTCACCAGCTCAGCCCCAGGGGTTCTTTCACACACAAGCTCCTTCCCTAAGGAGTCCTGTGGGGTTCCACACTCAGTGTGCTGCCCAAGTCAGAGATTTACCACAGATCTGTCTCCCCCTCAACCTGGACTCAAGTTACTGTGGTGAGAAACCTCACTGTCCATGGTTAACTGAAGAAATCCCTCCTTCAGAAAGAACTTGAGTAGTAGATGAGGTGGTTAGACAGGATCTTTTTCCCTCAAGCTGTTTGGACGCCACAGCCAGGACCAACTCTGACAGCTGCGAGAGAGAGAGCCCCTCCAATGTGGAACCTCCTACACAGCCCCCCTTTTGGGTCCCTGGATATGAGCCCCCAGCAGGACCACCACTCTAGGGGGAAGTCTCCCTCCCATCCCTCAGATCCCCACATTGTTCCTCCTGTAGGAGAAAAGTCAGCCCTGCCCCTGGAGCTTCTCCAAGATGGCACTGGACTCGCCGTTATCTTGAGGAGCCAGGAGCTGAAATGGCTCCGGCTTAGCAACCCAGTATGGCCAAAGTGGAAAGGTTCTCTGTCCTTTGCAGTCACCAAAAAAAAAAAAAAAAAAAAAAAAAAAAAAAAAAAAGTATGGTCTCACAGGCACAGCATCTTCTTTTAAAAAATAAATATTTATAAACTTAAGGAAGATTCAAAGAATCAGGGTATCTTTTCCTCCAAAAACACAAATGTCCCGTGTAAGTCAAACCAAGGTGCGACCACCAACCCATGAATGAAGTCCCCTCCCCCTGCAGCTACAGGGTTGAGGGGCAGGTGGGCAGGGGAGCTGCTCTCTCTCCTGCCTTCAGTCCCCCTTGGTGATGAGGTCCTCAATGTAGGCGTCCAGCTCATCATCTGTGTTGATGTCTATGTCCTGGAATAGAGCAGGGTAGGGATCAACTGGGGGCCAGAAAGTGATTGGGGGGCTCACCTTTCCACCCTTCTCTCAGCTCCTGGGATGGAGCCCAGAGTCCTCTCCCTGACCTCCCACCCCGCCCTGGATGTCAGGCTTCTGTCCTGTCTTAATCACTCTCCCCTCCCTCATCTATTGTGCACAGATGATGCCCAGATTTCCTACGCCCACCCTGCCTCTACCCCATGTTCCCAATTGTCTTAGATGTATATTTCCCTCAGATACTACAAATATGCCCACTTCTCTCCCTTCTCTGTCACTGCCCAAGGTCCAGGCCACCACTGTCTCAGACAACTGTGGGAGCCTCCTCACAGGAGGCTCTGGTTCTAACTTTGACCCCTCCAGGCCTCCTCCAACCAAGCAGGTACATGTCTGAGACTGAAAACTGCATCATGCCACACCCCTCCAGTGATCTCCACTGTTCTCGGGATCAAACCCCACAACTTTCAAGCCCTGCCTCTGCCCCTACCGCCCCCAAGTCCCTGCTCAGGCCTCAAGTCCTGCTCTTCTTCCTTCTGCCTGGAATGCTCGTGTCACACTCTTTGCATGACTGGCTTCCAGTGTCTCCAAATGCCTAAGCCCCTGAACACCCTAGTCAAGTGGCCTCCCCACACTTTACTGTATCTCCTTATGAACCACCATCAGTAATTCTCTCTCTTCCACCAGACTGGCAGGCTGTGAGAGCAGGAACCTTCTCTGGCTTGTCTTGTTCATTCTGTATCCACAGGACAGGCACAGAGCAGGCCCTCATGCTTATTGCCTGGATGAAGGGCCAACAGGCTAAGGGGTGCTCCCCACTTCTGGGCTACCCAATCCCATCTGGGCGTCATGTGGAAAAGAACTTCGTTTTTATGGCTTGGAGGGTTCTCAAACCAGGTTGTACGTCGGAATGTCTAAAGGGAAAAAGCCTGGTTCTATGGGTCTGGCTGGGCTGAGGACCAGGCAGCCACACCATCTCAAGCCCTCCTGCCAGGGTGCTGTGCAGCCAGGGTGAGAACCATAGATTCCTGTGAGTGGATAGATTCTTGTGAGAACAGGAACAGGGCCCAGGCCCCCCTCCCTGAGAGACCAGGTGGTCCAGCTGCAACAGGAAGGCTGCCGGGCTCACCTCCTGCACCTTTTGCAGGAGTGCCACGATGTTGGTCCTCAGCTTCTGCAGCTTCTCCTCCGTCTCGCGGAGCTTCCTCTCGGAGGTGCGCAGGCTTTCCTCGGAGGCCTTGGCCCGGGAGTCAGCACGGCTCTGGTAGGAATTGCACAGGTTTTGGAGCCCTACTTCATATTGCTTGAAGTACTCCTTCTGTTGGGAGCAGAGCAAGAGGGAGAGTGTGTAAGTTCACAGGGGTCCCCAGGGCCCTTCTAGGCTGACACGGGTGTCTCCAGCCCGCTTTACCCAAGGATGCCTGGTCTGAAGGAACATCTTAGATACAAAGGGCAAACAGCCTCTTTACGTCCAGAGTAGAGAGACATCAATGCCTATCTTGTGGGGCTGCCACAAGGAAGAAGACAATTAGCACACAGGTGAAGCACTCAGCACAGTGCTCTGGCAGACAGCAGGCCGTGAGGACGCGTGAGGGGCGATTCTTACCATTCCAAGTGACAAAAAAGGATGACAGAATCGCTCTTCCATGCTCAATCATAACCTGTCTGACTTCAGTACAGCCCTTTCAACCACCCACTTCCAAGACATACCCAACAATGTCAGCGCTCATGTCAGTTCTCTTTCCACCTACCAACCAACAGCAGATATCTCCAGATCTGTGGAGTAGTATATACTTCTACAGCATCAGAGCTTTTTACTATTTTCCCTGAGTACCTGAAACCTCCAGGGGGAGAGGTAGGAAGGGAAACAAGCAGTTTTTCTAGTGGCTTTTCAGACTTATAAAAGGGAGCAGAATACTTGTTTCAAATGAAATGTCACATGGAATCTCAGTGTGAAAAACAATGTTAAGTAGTATCTCTTTAGGTTCAATTTATTTTCCAAGTTCAAATTTATAACATGACTTACTCGTAAATCACTGAGAATCATGAGGCCACTGTGATGAACACACACGCCACAACCAGCAGGTGCTAGCTGGCTGCTGCAGTCTTATCAACTCTGGTGTTTACTTCTGTAAAGATGCATTAGCTGCCTAGCCTGGAGAGGCTTCTAGATGCCATTTTTAAAAACTGTTACTGGCAAGTATTTAACTGTGTCATTCACCTTATCCTACTAAACCAAGATAGCAAGAGAAACTTCTAGTTCTACACAAAACAGTAATTGCCTTGGCAGCACAAAATAAATACTGGAGCAATCTCCAAAGTATTAAAATTCAGTATACAACATCTTGAAAGTAGACATGGTTTGTAATAATTTTTTCTTAATTATTTTGAGGTAACTGTAGATTCACATATAATTGTTACATTAGTTTTTTTGAAAAAATGATACTTTAATATTGCAGGGCTCCTGAGGCTCTATGGAACTCCTGATCCATATGGTATAAAGGACGTAACTGACAAGGACATAATGAACAGTAGACTTTGTTTTATCCCTGATGCTAAAAAAATAGTTTGAGTGATGGCCAGGCGTGGTGCCTCACACCTGTAATCCCAGCACTTTGGGAGGCCGAGGCAGGTGGATCACGAGGTCAGGAGATCGAGACCATCCTGGCTAACACGGTGAAACCCCATCTCTACTAAAAATATAAAAAATTAGCCAGGCGTGGTGGCGGGTGCCTGTAGTCCCAGCTACTCAGGAGGCTGAGGCAGGAGGCTGAGGCAGGAGAATGGTGTGAACCCGGGAGGCAGAGCTGGCAGTGAGCCGAGATTGCGCCACTGCACTCTAGTCTGGGCAACAGAACGAGACTCTGTCTCAAAAAAAAAAATAGTTTGAGTGATTTTAGACATTACAATTAGCAGGACAAAGGTGATACACTGGTATTATACCTCCTTGTACAAAAAGAAGCTAATATACTTTTTTTTTGACACAGTCTCGCTCTGTCACCCAGGCTGGAGTCCAGTGGCACAATTTCAGCTTACTACAACCTCTGCCTTTCCCCGGGTTCAAGCGATTTTCATGCCTCGGCCTCCCAAGTAGCTGGGATTACAGGCATGCACCACAACATCTGGCTAATATTTTTTGTACGTTGTAGTAGAGATGGGGTTTCACCATATTGGCCAGGCTGGTCTCAAACTCCTGGCCTCAAGTGATCCACCTTCCTCAGCCTCCCAAAGTGCTGGGATTACAGGCCTGAGCCTCCACACCCAGCCTAATATACTATTTTTAGACACTCATGCACTTTGTTTGGGCCCAGGCATTCAAGCCCACTGCAGAGATCCTGCTGCACCCAGGCTCTACTCTGAGTTTGGCAATAACCTTAAACCAAAATCAACAAATCTGACAAGATGCCAGGCCAACCTAGCCACCCTATTAGCTGCTTGTTCCTCCTGGGATTTGCAGAGAGCACCTGCAGCCTAAACAAGGACAAAAGTTGAAGCATGGATCTTTCTGTGCAGCAGCTGTGATTTCTGCACCTTCTAGCTCCCTCGCCGAGCACCACTCCCTCATATCTTGCTGGCAGAGCAAGGCAGCATCGTGAGCAGAGCAAGTCCTAAGAAGTACATGGGTTCAAATCTGGTCTCTGTCACTGACCAACAGACTCTTTACCTTTCTGAGCCTTAGTTTCTTCAACTCCTGCTTCATTTCACATTTTAAAAAGTAGAATAAAGACAAACTCCATGTTTTTATCTCTGGCAAACTTTATCAAGCACACAACTGCCCCACGAGGACCCGACATCTTGAATATACTAATCCTGCAGTTTCCATTCCCATTGTCTTTTCTCTAGAACCTCTTTCCTAGAAAACTTAGCTATTCCTATAATAGAAAAATCATCCCACTTCATGTGGACAATTCCCAGAGCCCCATCTCCAGCCCTGGCCTCCCCCTCCCTCCAAGTGCCAGTCCTTGATCTCCACGTGCACAATGCACATCACCAGAAACGTAGTGAGGGCACTTCTGGTGCCACATAAACCTCCACTCGTCACCTTCATTGCACTCACCCATTTTTCTCTCCTAGTTAATAGCTTTGTCATCAACCTCCAATTCCCACAGACCTGAGTCACTTGCCTACAATCCATGATCAGTCTCCTGACGACCTCTGACACAGCCCTTTCACCCCCAAGCCCACTGCCACCACGCTGACTCCTGTTCCCATTCCCTCACCTCTGACCTTTTACATAGGACCTGCCTCCTCGCCCCTGCATCTCCCATCCACCCATTCTACCCAAACACGCTGCTACCCAAATCACCCTCTTAGGGGAAGGGGCAGCAGATTACAGCCCCTGGGCCGAATCAGCCTGCCAAGTGTTTTTGTAAATAAAGCTTTGTGGGAACACAGCACATCCATTCCTTTACATACTGTCTGTGGTTGCTTTCGTGCTATAATGGCAGAGTTGCCACAGAGACTGTATAGCCTGTGAACCTGAAATTACTTGCCAACTGGCCCTCTACAGAAAAAAATGTGTGGACCTCTGCCCTAGACATGGTTTGGATGACAGTTCCTTCAGCTCAAAACTTTTGCAGGCTGTCCTCTTCATACAGAGTTTAAGCCAGTATGACTTACACTGGGGATTCAAGACACATCAGATCCTGACTTTCAGGCCCCTTGACCCTAAATGCTCACCACACAGCCTGTTGCCTGGACCCCACTCCCAGAGCCTTTGCTCACAGAAGCCCCCACCTCAAACACTCCTTTTCACTTACACAGGCAGGCACTTGGCAAAATGCACATTTTCTTCCAACTCAGTTGCTCTCTCTGCCCCCCAGGCCACCACAGCCCTCCATAGCCTTTCTATCCACTTTCTCAGCACTCGCTGCTCCTGCCCCCATGTCCAGCTACCCGGTAACAACTCAGTCTCTACTGAATCTTGAGCCTCTTGAAGGCAAGACTCTCTTTTGCTGCTCACTATGAGGTCCAGCAGACACCTGCTTGGGCAAGGCACCCCTTCAGCATTTGCTGGGTTAAGTAAGATCCAATGCTTATGTCCACACATCACAAGTTTCTCTATACCTCCTTCTGAGAGTCAAGTTCTATGCACTTCGAGCCTCAGCTCTTCACTGTTGCCTGGGACAGGTTTACTCCCTCTACTGGGGCAGAAGAAAGTGGGTATGCTTGTCATAAAATGTCAAACTACACCTGCTATCCCTAAGGGATGACTCAACTCCTAGCACCTGTGGTGGGAAGGGGTTGGCTTTCTGCACACCAGAGTCATATCCAGCTAAGCCAATTTTTTTCCCACATCATAAACTCTCCTCTTCTTTCAGCAGGAGAGAGGCTGGCTGAGATGGAGCACACAGCTGAGAGCTAGCAACTGCAACAAGCGTAACAATCATAATCACAACAGTTACAACAAATGCAGGGGCAGGGGTGGGGGAATGAAGAGTGTGGAATCGAAGGTCAGGCCAGACTCACCAGAGGAAAAGATATTAGCTCATCTGAATTCATAGCACTCAGCTGCTTCTTGGAGATGGGGAAACTTGGAGGCAGGAAGTACCGTAAACAATTCCTAAAGAAGGCAGGGACAGTAATTCAGAATGGCATGGAGCAGGCAGAGAGCTGCTGCTGGCCCTGGGGTGGGAAGACAAAAGACACATGTACCGGAGGATCTGGACAAGCAGGTCGATGGTCTCGTGATTGGTGCTCAGGGCAGTGGTGTCAGGCTCAATGCGGAGGCATTCGGAAGTGGAGGGCTCTGCGACAGCTATGGCCTGCTGGGCCACAGGGCCCACCTCCTCCTCCCCGCCCTCCTGTTGTGTATCAAGGCTCTGATGTTCCGGAGAAGGGGGTTTCATCAGCCGCACATCCTCACTGCCTTTCTCCACCCTGTGGAAGACACACAGCTTATGTCATGTCTGACCCGGGCTCCCAGGATGGGCTGCTGGCAGGGAGGCCGGGGATACCTCCTTCGAGGAACCACTGCTCCTCCCTGATTGGGGCATTACCAGCGGTCTCTTGGTGTCGTGTCTGTGGGCACGTAGTCAAACTTCACCTTCCACCGCACCACATGCTTGCCCACCTCCACGGCTGTGACACGGCCCGTGTACCACTCCCTGTTCACACGCACCTCCACGTGCAGCCCTTTATCTGACAATGTAGACAGAGGTGCGAGTCAGAAAACTAGCGTAGAGTCCCTCACTTGGCCTGGGCCACATCGAGAAAGGCAGTCCCCAGGGTTTGGAGGACAGGAACACTTAGGTGCTTGCCCCCACTACACCAGGGACACAGAGACCAGGGACCAGCCACCATGGTCTCCTTCCCCATCTGCTATGAGGGTGCCAAAAAGCAGGAGAACAAGTGACCGCCAGGAGTGAACACCAAGGAATTAGTGTTAAAAATAACCACAAAGGGGTGATCCCTTCAGAATTCTGCTTGGGATTAGACTTGGATCCACTGCTGCACAAGAGCCCAGACCCAGGACAGATTCAATGAGCCTTTGGTAAATTGCTGCTGGTAAGGGGCTCCACTTCCACTCCCACTCCCACCCCCGCCACAGGCTGCCAAGTCACTCCCCCAGCTCACCTTTCTGAGCTCTCTTGAGGTCAGCCGAGTCCTCTTCCCCAGCACTGTCTGAGAGCTGCGTGGAGAGCAGTCTATTAGAGGCATCCCCAGTGCCCCCCAAGAGCAGACTTGTGCCTTACTGGCCACCCGGGGTCATCAGCCATCATCTTCACGACTTCCTGTGCTACAGTTTAAATCACCAAGCCCCGTTGAGAGCCACACTCCAAAATCACTGTCCAAGGTACCTACCCTTCTGCTACCTTTACGAACAAGACAGCAGGCAAGGGACATGTGTTTCAAGCCTCACTGATGTACGTCTGTGTGACTTCAGGCCTGTGGTTAAGCCAGAAGCCAGTCTCACTCAAGACCCTACCTGGCACCATGTTTAGTCACTTGTGTAACTGAGAGTCCTTGAGAGATCACTAGGCTTCTGGAAGGCTCATGACACGAATATAAACAGAGTTGGTGCAGACTGCTGGTGGGGGGGGTAGACTGCTGGTGGGTTGTGTAGACTGCTGGTGGATGGTATAGACTGCTGATGGGGGGTGCAGACTGCTGGTGGGGGCTGCAGGCCCTAGAGAGAGAGGCTTTGAGAACCTCACCTCAACCACTCACCTCATTCGAGTCCTTCTTTTCCTCCTTCACAACAAATCTGCCCCGCTTGCACCTCTCCTTCCTCCTCTCAGCTTCCTCCTCAACTTCTTCCTCATCAGAAACTGCGACACTCCGCTTCCGACTAGGGGTAGCCTAGAGCAAGAGGAGCGTGAGGATGTGAGGGGCCCTGTTCAGCCTCTAAGGAGCAGGAAGATTTCATCTAGCCTAAAGGAGTCGTTCCAAGAGGAGCTGTACTCCCTGCAATCCCTGCCTGACATTACTTGGAATGTACACAGGCAACCCACTGGCCCCTGCGCCATAAGGATTTTTGCTCAAAGCTATCATAGGAGAAGCTTCTCAATTCCCTTCCCACCTTAGTCTACCTGGCCAACTAGCTGTCACCTCCCCAAGAACCACCGACCACTGCCGCAGCCCACTCAGGCTATCTGTCACCAGATGACTGACCTAAGCCCACACTTCGAGAGCCAGTGGAGGTGACTCAAGTTTGTGGCAGACCAAAACTCGGAGGCAACAGTGAAGAGCTCGCTGTACAGGCAACCGATGTGCTGTCTGGCCCCAACAAGTCCGTTCAGCTATCAAGGCTTCCCGTCCTCAGGGGCAGCAGCAAAGCTTTAGATTCAGTATCTTCCGAAGGCTCCCCCAGTACAGCTGTGACACTGCACAATTCCATTCCTACACTACTGACACTGGGCTGGGGTATTAAAGAGGACAAGCGTCTCACCGGGGAGAGTTTGATGGGTGACTCTGTCTTCTTCACCACTGGAGTCTTGATGACTTTGGGAGAAGGAACCTCCCGAGGGCTCTTGGAGTTGGGCAGTAAAGATGGTGACAGTTGCTGCACCAGAGGGGCAGGTCGGGATGCAGTCTTGACGAGAGTGTTGGCAGGCTTTCGGGGTGCCTCAGGTGGCTGGAGCAGCCTAGATGTGCTGGCCTCCTCCCGGGCTGCCAAAGCAGGGAGCTTTGGGGTACTGCTGATGACAGGAGCCTTTCGGGGCTGGCTGGCTGGTCTAGGAGTTGGCAAAGAAGGGGGTCTGCTGGGGGCGTTCCTGATCACAGCAGGTAAAGGGGGCGACCGAGGACGCTGAGGTCTACGCACAGGTTCCTAAAAAAAGGCCCACAGAGAGTGAGAACACTGATCCTAGCATGAGACACCTGAGGAAAAGCCCTTCCCAGGCCCCTGGACTTCACCTCAGTGGAAGGTCTGGTGGTCACTTCCAAGGGCAATTTCTTCAGGTCTGCTTGGGAGCGGATGGGTGTGGTTTTCTGCAAGGCAAACATCATGATGAAGTTGTTTGCATATTTTAGTATACTTGAGCAAACTTTTTGGATAGTGTCTGGAACCAGGGACAAAAAAAATAGAAAACCTGAGCCATAGTCCTACTCTTACAAACCTCCTGTTCTCATTGGGGAGACACAAAATACATAAATACTCAACTATCAGCAAATTACAGGAAACTGTGTGATTAATCCAGCAACTGAGAGACTGGCAAAAAGTGTCAATAGACTAAATTCCTATAAAAGGAACCCAAAAAGGTAGAAAGGGCCCGAAGGATAGGGAAAACCTGGATGAAGCCAGAAAGGAAAGGTGGGATTTAGCAGCTAGGGAGGCATATAAAACATCATGGGTTAGTGAGAGCACATCTGCACAGACACAGAAGCCAAAAAGGGAAATGGTTGTGTACTAAATATGATAAACAGATGATATCACAGACATATCTAGAAAAAAACATAGAAAAAATAAAAATGTAAGTGAATAAGCAGTTTAAAAGGAATAAAAGTGGACACATGAAAAATTATGCAATCTTAGAAATATTAAGGAAATTAAATTATAAAACATGCATCTTTGCCTATGAAATTTGCAACAACATTTAAAAATAATGCTCTCATATACTGCTGGTAAATAATAGAAATTAACACATCTCTGGAGGGTACTTTAGAAATAGTTGCAAAAAGCCATAGAATTTTACAATGGACCTTTTAAGTCCTTTAATTTCACTTCTAGAAAGTCATCAAAACAATTATGTGTATGTGTATGTATTAATATAAAACATATACATGGCATTATCTCCCTATTTCTATTAAAAAATATATGTGTGTTATGTGTAGGTATTCATGAGTTCATGACAAGTTGGAAGGATGTATGGTTAATGATGGTTACCTCTAAGGCAGAATTTTTATTTTCTAGAGTTTTATACATTCTAAATGAATTGGACCACTTTGAAGTATATAAGCATTTTTTCTTAAGAATAAGCAAGGTGTTATTCTTAAAATAACACTGTTGGCAAATAGTACACGTGGACCTGGAGGTTGGGGTTGGAAAGCTTTGGCAAACAACGCGGGTGAGTGGAGGGTAAAACTGAGCCTGAGGGAACAGGAAAGCTACTGAAGGTTCCTGTCACAGGCAGAGCCCTGACACAGGCTGGCTTTGCCCACTGACCATGACCCACGTACCTGAAGGGCCTCCAGCTTCTCCTGCTGCTGGCGAATTTTCTCTGTCAGTTGTTTCTGCTTCTCTTCCTGCGTCTTCATGTCCTTTCTGAATGTTCCCAGGGGAACCTTCTGCTTTTGTTCAGAAGCCTCACACCTGTAGAGACAAGGTACTACAGAGGTCGTGGCAAACAGAGCGCCAAGCTCGGCAAGGACCTTTCTCTTCAGCCAGTCTACACTGTCTGTCACAAGAGCAACCACCTCAGAGTTCCCAATGCACAGAATTAATCTTATACACTGCAGGACATACATCTATTTTTATTTCTTGGGCAGTTATTAGGTGTGGCAAGACAGAGATGTAAGGTATGTGCACTGACCTCAAGAAACACAGTGAGGGGCAGGGGAGAAAAGTACCCACAATCCCCTTGTTAGACAATGTGCTCACCGGTCCTGTTCAGGATCAGGGTTCATGGAGCAAACCCAGGTGTCAGGGTAATCTTTTTCCACAGAACTCAGCTGGAAGGGGAGGGTTCTCCATTTCAGACACAAATCTGCAGAGAGCAAAAAAACCCCACATATCAGCCACGCCCACCAACTCTATCTGTAATCCGGGTTCCTCACAGGCCCACCACAATGATGCCCCAGACTTTGTAGGCAAAGATCTTCACTCGGGCTCCAACTCTGCCTATCCTTAGAGAATACTAATTCTTCTCAGGGACACTGATTCCAGGAAGGATGGAAACTTAATATGCTGGACTCTTAACACCCCCAGCCCCTCTCCCTTTTTTATCAAGATCCTGGCTCAGTCATCCACGCACACCAGAAACCATGTGGTACCAAACCAAGTGAGCCTGGCCTGGCTGCAGCTGGAGAGGCCTGGGAGGACAGATGACCTTCTTTCTCACTCAAGAGGGACAGGTGAAACTCAGCAAAGCCTCAAGACTGAGCTCACAGGGCCATCGTCAAACAGACTTGGATCCCTAGGGGACTGTAAGTCCATGAATGTCAGTCAAGTTAGGAGGCTGGCAGGAAGATAGAGAAAAGAGGCTTGTGGGCTGATGGAAATGAGTCGGGGGGGTCCAACCACCCAACTCACCGCACTGGATGGTGGTGGGGATTTCCATAGCTCTCCGGCGTTTGTAACGCAGCTCACTGGATGGGGGCTGGTTCCAGTTGGCAGAGAGGTAGCCAAACTCATCCCAGAACTTGATGATTCCCCTCTGGGCTGGAAAGCAAACACCGATACATCATGTTAGGAGCCAGCCTCTCTCTCTCCCTACATTCAGGTGAAGAGAAAAGGCAGAGGCCCAGCAGCCCAGCCCCATTACCGATGGCAATATCCTTCCAATACTGCGCCAGGTGCTCCCCCATTGCTCGGAGCAGGTGCCGGTACTCCTTGGCATCAGCAAAGTCCTGTTTGTTGTGTGTAGGCTCCAGGACCAGGTAGGGCACATCAACAACCCCAACAACCCCGCCACATGCCCTACAGGGAGAAAGAGAACAAGCTCTGTCACCCCACTGGCAACGCCCTCCTGCCAACTATCCTGGGCTAGACAGCTCTCTGTGGGTAGTACTCACATGCCCCCTTCCAGCTGTGGGCCCACTTTCTCATACATTTTGATCAGTCGGCTACAGTTGTAGATGAACATGCCATCCAGATCCCGGTGTTCAATGTTGACACCAAAAACAAAATTCAGTTCCTTAGGTTCTTTAAGTGCTCTAAGAAGACAAAAAAACTCAAGCAGATCTACACATCGGCACACAAGCACCATAGTGTTTAAGATGTGTTAAGCTTAAGCTTAAACTTGAAACATGTTAAGCCAAAAGTTTTGTATCTCTATTTGATGTGTAACCTGTTAGACTTGATATGGACATGCACTGGGCACCAACTCAAAGCATCCCTAATTAAAAACATGAGTGTGGCTTTTTGGCAACAGGGATGGTTGCCAAACCATTCATATTCATTAAATATGAATTGTTTATTACGAAGCTGCTGCAAATCTGTGCAAAGACAATTATATGTTGGAATAAACACCAGGTTATCGTCATACCTTCCCCAAAATTCCACTAGTATGATAGTAAATTATTATAATTTTTTTTTGAGACATAGTCTTGCTCTGTCGCCCAGGCTGGAGTGCAGTGGTGCGATCTCCGCTCACTGCAATCTCCGCACCCTGCATTCACACCATTCTCCTGCCTCAGCCTCCCAAGTAGCTGGGACTACAGGTGCCCGCCACCATGCCCGGCTAATTTTTTGTATTTTTAGTAGAGACAGGGTTTCACTGTGTTAGCCAGGATGGTCTCGATCTCCTGACCTCGTGATCCACCCACCTCAGCCTCCCAAAGTGCTGGGATTACAGGCGTGAGCCACCGTGCCCGGCCAATTATTATTATTTTAAAAGGCAAAAATTCACAAGAATAATAAGCATGTGCAATAAGACACCATCATGTGATTACTATCAACAAAAACTTAGAGCTGAAAAGCAGATGGATGAGGAGTGGACTGACTTGGAGAGAAAAAACCTGAAACCCATGCCTGTGCCAAGGAGGCCAACAAGAGGCAAAACAGTGAATCAAGCCACAGAGTCCAAAGAGGATCCAGACATGGAGGTGGGACAAGCAGGAAACTTAATGATCCAGGACAAATGCTGGTTCTAAATGCAAAAGTATACAACACTCAATCTCCAGCATTATTCTACATACATAACCACTGAGGAGAAAATGAATATGAAAAAATATATATGTAACATAAAAAATAGGGTCGTATCACCAGGTGGTAGAAGTATAAGGGAGTTTAAAAATGTTACTCCTTAAACATTTTATATTTTTCAAGTTTCATACAATGAGCATTTTATACATCCTTTAAATGAAAAGAAAGAAAGAAAAAGGGAAGAAAAGGTAAGACAGTGCCAAAGGATGGTTTTGGTGCTCGAGCCGAGGTTGTCAGCCCTGCCCTGTCTTTATGACTCAAAAAAGGGCTGAGAGCTAGGATTAAGACTTCCCTCCTGCAGGAGGCATTTGACAAGCATTTGGCATTAAAACAAAGCAGTCTTGGTGACAGAATAGCAACCTGTCAATAATCAGTCCAAAAGCTACGTCAGTTTAAAAGATCCAAGGACAGGCCTGGCACTCACCGCTGCTTGGCCTCCTTGATCCTCTTCTTGACATCGGCTTCTCTGCGCAGAGTGATGGCTCTGTTCTGGACCTGTCGCAACATCACCTGCACACATTGACATCAGGTGAGGGGAGGTGGCACTCTAGGCCACAGCAGGGAATATTGAAACATTACATCTAAGACATCTCAATTTATCTCAAAGATGTAAAACCACACCTGGAAATTTACTTCTTTCTACAGAAAACAGCCCTCACTGGGGACAAACTCAAAAGCTGTGTTTTACTTGACCAGGCTCATGGGACATGGGCTCCTAGTGCCAGAAACGCTGGAGAACAGCCGCCTGGGCCGGGACCTTACCCTGGAGTCCCGCGTGAGGTCTCCACCTAGGCGTACTTCTAATGTCCGAGCTTTGCTCTCTGCCTCCCGCGCCTTCTCTTCAGCTGAAACCCAGAAGAGAACATGGTAAGAAATGCAAAGGTTCAAAACTCTTGGTCATCCCTCCTGGATCCACAGTACTGGACACGAAGTGTGTACACCACCAAGGAAAAAAAGAGTAGGGGGAGCTATGGCTGGTGAGCAATGTGAGGGCAGCCTCTGTGCCTGGACGGCAGTCAGTCACAGAAGGAAAATCTGGCATTCAAACCTATCACGGAGGCCCCAAGGAAACTTTACAAATGAACCAGAACAGGTTTAAAAAAAAAAAAAAAACACCTAAGGCAACCAGTTGAACACTCAGCTTGAGCTGGAAGCTAAAGAAGTCTTCAGCCAATCACTCTCCAACAAGCAGCCGAGAAACCCTGAGAAACCCTGAACAGCGAGAGAGCCCCTGAGATGTTTGCCCTGAAGTCAGGAAAAGCAATTTCACAAGTATTTGCACCAGAGAACTCAGTGGGATTCTTCAATTGGGATAAGCCAAAGAGCTGACACTTTTAGGCCCTATAAATGGCAGAAGAAGAGAAAGTGGAGTGTAGAAAGAAGAAATGCTGAGGGAGTTGGCATGTAGTGAAAGGGGCTGCAAAGGAACTGAACTATGCTTCAGGAGACCAGCCTTGTCCCTGAGTTGTGGACTCAGCCTTTTCCTGGAACCCCACTTTGCCCACAAGCAGCATACCCCAGATGCACACCCCCCCAACTCCTGCACCCAGAGTGGCATTACCAATCCTTGCTACGTGCTCTGCTTTCTTCACCTCCTGCTCCGCACGGGTCTTGAAACGGCTTGACGTGTACTTGTACATCCTGATCAGTAGAAAAAGCAAGCTGATGGCCCACGCAGCAGTGGGGCAGGTGGCACACCCAAGCACAGGAAGCACCCTGCCTTCCTGCCTCCTCCCAAGCTGTGCTGTCCTGGCCCCTCATGATGAGACAAATCCAAGCTCAATTCAGCAAAAAGGTGCAGTTCCTTATTCCACTTGCCCTTAGCCTCCTGCTGTCTTTGATAAGCAACCTCACCATTCACCAGGGTTGTCATTCATCCCACAGCAGAAACAAACCTCAGGAGTAAGCCAAGCCCACTGCTTTCCTATATAGTGTCTAAAGGCCCCTTGGCCCTAAAGCCAAGAGACTCAGACAGCTCACTGAGCCAGGCAGGGCACCCTCCCTGTCACAGAGGCACACATACTCAATGAGCTTAGCCAGCCACCTCCACAGCTGATCTGTCCCTCCTCTAGGACCCAGAACTGACCCTGTGACCAATCACAGGCAACTTAAAGTCCCAAACGTAGTCAGCACTGCCAGAGCCTCTTATACAGCATCCCTCTAACAATGCCCCAGAGAAACGCGGCCACATCCTCGACCCATGGGAGACAGCAGGCCAAGGGGCACTGGCCCCTACCTGGGCTTGTACAGGCAGCAGGAGAGCCTCTTGGTCTGCACCTTGTGCCCATGGATGAAGATCCTCATCCGGGGATCAATATAGAGCACAGCGGCATAGGCACGGAACGAGCGCCGCTCTGGCTTCCTGGAGAGGGCAAAAACAGAGAAGTGCTGTCACCTGCTCCACAACAGGCCTGACCAAGGGCACAACATCCTCTCTGCAGGCTCTCCACCTTTCCATGTTAGGTACTGACTTCTGCTGCTGCCCTGAACTGGTGCTCCCTTAGTGTGAGCACCACATCCCGCCCCTCTCACGTCCTCAGCACAGGCACCCCACAGGCAACTGAGCTGGCCCTACATACTACCCTACCACAGAACACTGGGCAATGAATGTGCTCTCCCCTCTTTCCCTGAAGCCATCTCCTGAGAGCACAAACGCCAGTTCCAGGGCCTCCCTCCCTTCCCAGCCACACTCACGTGCCCTCTGGGGACGTCTCTGCCATCTGGATATCTCTTGGATTTGAGATTATGTCTAGTTCTGGCTCTCCATTATCCATGAGTTTGAGATTGAAGATGATCACCAATGTTCCTGAGAAACAGAAATCTTTTGTCCTGCCAGATCCCCCGGCCCACCCCCACACTACTTGTGATTCTGGAGCTCCCAGATTCTAGGGGCTACAGGCTCAAAGCCTACTTACCGCTGTCCCCAGGAATCTTCATAAACTGGGTCATCACTTCCTCCTCAGTGCGGAATGGAGAGTACTTATAGATGAGTTCTGTCTCAATGGCAAATTTCTCTACATTGTCTGTGACAGGTTCCCGGGTCCGAGCATTCCAGGTGGGCAGTGGGACTATCACCTGTGGAGTAAACATGAGCAGGCACTTTAAGGGAAGCCCCAGAACAGCCTTCCTCCCAAATGTGCATCTCTCTTGTCCCTCCCCACAGCAGCTCCACACTGCCCTGTAGGTGAGGCCCAAGCTCCACAGCCTGGCACCAGAGGCTCTGTGAGCTTCAGGGCTTCTGCCTCTTCCCAAGACTCAGCCACACAAGACTACTTCCTTCAGGAGATGTTGGTTTATGTGCTTAGGGTCTCTGCATGAGAAGTTCCCTGCTTGGGACGTCCCTGGTCATTTTCTTAATTTGGTAAAAATTCTACTCTTACCACTAGGGAAAATATATTTGCAATTATCTAGTGAATCAGTAAATACACATAACATAACCTAAAACTCAGCAATTCCACTCCTAGGTACATACCCTAGGAGAAACTTTTGTACATATGTACCAGTAAACATGTACAAAAATAACCCAGGCCTGGTGCAGTGGCTCATGTCTGTAATCCCAGCACTTTGGGAGGCTGAGGTGGATGGACTGCCTGAGCTCAGGAGTTTGAGACCAGTCTGGGCAACATGGTGAATCCCGGTCTCCACTAAAATACAAAAAATTAGCCGGGCGTGGCAGCGTGCGTCTGTAGCCCCAGCTACTCAGGAGGCTGAGACAGGAGAATTGCTTGAATCTGGGAGGCGGAGGTTGCAGTGAGCTGAGATCGTGCCACTGCACTCCAGCCTGGGCAACAGAGCAAGACTCCATCTCAAAAATAAATAAATAAATAAAAATAACCCAAATATCCATTCTAGAGTGGCCAAATTAAACTGTACAATGGAACACTATATAGTGATACAAATGAACTAACCACTACTAGCATCAACATGGATGAACAACATAAACACAGTGTTATATGAAATAGGATACAAAAAATACCTACAGTAAGAGTCCATTTCTAAAAAATTCACAAATAGGCAAAACTAAACTATTATTTAAAAATGCATACAAGGGTGACAAACTATAGTGAAAAAGAAGGAAATCATTATCACAAAAGTTACCTGAAGGCAGTTCCTTCGGGGGCACAAGAAGAAATATGACTGATGAGGGCACACAGGACACTTCTAACATCAGTCTGTGATGGTGGCAACACAGGTGTTGCCTTTAAAATTGTCCTCTGAACTGCATAAATATTTCAATACACTCTTCCATTTATGTGAAATTTAATTTAAATAATGTCTAAGTGATGTTTTAAAAAAATCCTACTCTTTCTTCAAAAACCCAACCTCATATGCCACTTCCCCAGAGGCTCCTCCCTCGGTGGTTATGAGGCCGCAGCCCTTGCAGAGCCCTGCAGATGGCTGCCTGAAGGATTTCCTCTGCAGAGCAGGCCAGGCTAAGCACCTCAGGGGTTCAAACCCTTAGGAAAAAGGGACTCTGTAATCTTAACAAGTGCTGGGGTGACAAACTGTTAAGAGTTCTGAGACATTTTGCTGGGTTTTTTTATTTTATTTTTTTTGAGACGGAGTCTTGCTCTTGTTGCCCAGGCTGGAGTGCGATGGCATGATCTCAGCTCAATGCAACCTCCACCAATGGCACGATCTCGGCTCACTGCAACCTCCGCCTCCTGGGTTCAAGTGATTCTCCTGCCTCAGCCTCTCAAGTAGCTGGGACTAGGCGTACACTGCCATGCCCAGCTAATTTTTCTATTTTTAGTAGAGACGGGGTTTCACCATATTGGTCAGGATGGTCTTGACCACATGATCTGCCCGCCTCAGCCTCCCAAAGTGCTGGGATTATAGGCGTGAGCCACCAGGCCCGGCCCATTTTGCTGGTTTCTAAGAAGCTTTGTGCTGCAACTATTCAACCCAAGGGCTGGTCTGGACACATTCCTCCTCAACTGAAAATGATCTTATTTTGAAATCTTGGCTGAGTTTGCACTAGAGTACAATCCAAAATAGCGACCTTCTAGCACCAAGTAAGGAAAAAATCTCAACCTAGCCTCTCCACCACGGGAACCGAGTTCCATTTGTGTTCTATAAACCTGTACCTCACTACGCCTCCCATTCTTCACAGCCATCCCAGGTGACAATGGCATCACTTTAAACATTGGCTTTCACTCCCATGGGCACCCCATCCCTCCCCTCAGGAACACTTCTCCTTTAGTTCAATGGTACACTTGCCCAGTTTTCTTCCTACCTTTCTGGCTACCCCTTTGTCCCTCTGGCCCCCTTCTCCTCTCCCCGACCTTTAGATATTGACATGCTCTAGGTCCCAGATCCTCTTCTCACTCTATTCTCTCCATTAGGTGACCTCGTTTGCTACCAAGAATGCTGAAGCCCCCAGACTTCCCCCAAATGCCAGACCCAGACTGCACTTTGCATGTCCAGAAGAAACTTACACTCTTCCCCTCCATACTTCCCCTCTTCATTCTTCCCAATTCCAGAGACCCCACTCCCCAACTGCCACAGCAGAACCTATGAGTCATCCATGACTCCCCTGCTTCGCTTTCGCCTTCTACTAATCAATCAATCACCAAATCTGTGGGTCCCACATCCTAAAGAGATGGAAACTCCATGTATTTCTCTCACCTCCCTTGGGCGAGTACCGCCAAGCTACAGAGCCTGGGCCTCTCAACTGGAACACTCCAACACTCACCCTAACCTTTCCAACCCAATCACCACACAATCGCTACATGGACCTTCTTAAAAGAATCTGATACTGGCACATCCTTGCTTAATAAAGCCCCACACATTCATCAAGGCCCCGAGGTCAAGCCTAACCTGGCCCTCTCTGATCTCCAAAGGCCACCACCTTTCTCCAGGTGGCCCTGCAGCCAAGTCCCCTCCCACAGCCCTCAGGGCCTTAAGCAGGCTGCTTCTACTGACTTCCATACCCTCCTGTCACCATCCTCAGTCCTGTATCAGGAAACATTCCTGAAAACCCCAACCCAGGCTATATTTTCCTATCCTACTTCTCCTAGAAGCCTGCTCTTTCCAGCTGCCACGCTTCTCTCACTCAAGTATGCAGAATGAACTCACATACCACACCAAAAAGGCAGACAAACCCACTGGCTTGCTACGTAATGACGGAAGGCCTACCATTCCCTACCTGAACAAGTTTGCTATGATTAAGGCTCAGATCTAAACAGAACCAGAACAAATTTAATCACAGCTAATCAACACAGATGAATTAAATTGTAAGTCTGAATTCAATTACCTGCTTCTGTGGAAGTTGCGGATTTCTTTCCACAGAACCTCTTAGCCCCCCTTCTTTCAAGCCCTGGCCTCCATGTCTTACATAGGAAAGGAGATAAGAGTCCAGTCTGAGGCTGGGTAGTCCACAGAGCTGCCCTGATCTCCCACAATGAGGGGGCATAGACCTCACCAGAAACAGCTCTGCAGACATCTGAGCCACAAGGAGAATCGGCCAAATGTGTGTTTAGCTTACATAGTCAATTACTAAAATGATTTAAACTCAGAATATTCTGGATTCATTAGTCCTTCCTTCCAGCATAGCAGTAATCACTGGGGCTGTGTAGCAGCCACTCCCAAGACGAGACCCACAGCATCAGCTCTGTTTTCCTGTTCTCCATACACTCACCTGCTTTACTACCTGCCCAGGCTCTCTCTAGGTATCTGAGTCATAGTTTCTGACATAGAGTAACACATTTCTTCAAAAGGAAAATGAGCTCATAGCACATTCCACAAAATCACCACCAAATAGGAAACACCATGATCAGGGAAGCCCAAAATACTCCCCCTGATAAAACAATGTTCCATGGTAACACTCCCCCCAAAATGGAATTCAAGTGGCAGATCTAGAGGAGCTGCAAATCCAACTCTTAATTCCTGCCACTTGACAGTCTCATTCTCGGAAACAGTTGTTCTCTGAAGTGCTCTGAGATTTTGCTTCCTCTCACATTAAAGTTATCTACCTTAACCCCTCAACCAATTCATCCAGCCAGCTAACTGCATAACAATTAGGGGGAATGTGCTCCAATCCTGCAACCCCAAAGAGTCTAGCATTGCAAATAACCTACGAAAACCGCCTGGGCAGACTCAGGAAATGAGGACTGGTGATGCAGACCACGATGATGGGACCTACTTCATCAATGCCTTCTTCCTCATGAAACGTGCGAGACAGGAAGAGGCAGGTCATGGTGTCTTCCTTCTTGGTGAACAGGATAAAATCCTTCCCAATGCGCATTGAGCCCCTGAAAAGGAAACAGAAATGGGTGTTATTCTCCCAGGAGTCAAAAGCTCATCTGCAAAAGAAATCAATCCACTCTGGACATGATTGAAAGTGCCACTGGAGGGCTCTCCTAAAGGCCCCCCCAGGTCCCAGGACTGTGTGCTGAGTTCCACAGCCCTCGTTCCCTCTCCATCCCCCAACACTCCTTCCTCTGCTTTTCCACAGGCCTGTAACTCCTTAGTCTTTACTTACAACGTTCTCAACCACACCATACAGGGTTCTCTCACCACCCTTCTAGGGCGGGCTCACGGCAGACCACCAGCCCCAGGTTAGTCTCACTCCCCCCACAACGCTGAAGAGTAACCCTGCTGTCTTTGAGCTCTTGGTTCATCCCAGACGCATGAGAGGTGCTGTGCCCTCTGACTGTACCACCATCAGACTTTAGTAGCTGGTACCCTCAACACGTCATCTTCCATGCTGACCACCCCCAGTTCCCACCGTGTCCTTCCTCAGCTGACACAAACTCCCCTCCATTGACGAAACGGCAGCAGCACTGTTAAGTGAAAAGCCCAGTGCCTATACTCACAAGCCCGAGAAAACATCAGTATGAACCCAAGGCGCAGTAATACAGAGGGGCTAATAAAATATAATTCTTGACCACAGGATTCAAGGATGCCTGTAATTAGCTCATGTCCAATAACTGGAGCTATCTCCTGTCCCAGAAGTGTTTTGCCACCTCAAGCTCATTATGACACAGGCAGCTCCCTGCTTTTGGATGCAACTGGTTTCTGGGAACTGTGCCTTGAGGCTGATTTCCAAAAGGCAAAAGTCTGAATGGATTCAACTGCTTCCTTCCTCTGTTTGGCCACATTAAGCTGGCTAAGAAGCAGGCAGGGACAGGCCTTTCCAGGCAACGCAGGGCAGGGCAGAAGTGTGAAGCACCAGCAGGGGGACCGCCCTCTGAACAATGGGGCTGTTCAGCTCCTTTCTTCCAGCAGCTTCTGGAGCTTTATGGCTATTATCTCATTAGTCTTTATAACACCCCAGGGAGATGATGGAGGTGGAAAGCCTCATTACTCTCTTCTGTGTACCAATACAAACCAGACTGGCATGCCAAGCACACAAATGAATGTCATGCCCCATTTCCCCAAACACTCAGGAAAACTCCCAGGACACTATTCAAAGATACCCTGGGGGCTGCCAAGTCCTCGTTCTCCTCCTCCAGTACCCAAAGTGCTGGCAATGCTCCTTGCCCTGAAAATTTCACACACCACCTCCTCCTCCTTCCCTAAAGCGTATGGGGAGCAAGTAAGGCACGTTATCTTGCCTTCTGTCAAAGCATGCCCTTGCCCTAATTTGGCAAAAACTCTCACTTTGTGCCTCTATCTTCCTTCTGTCTTTGATTCTGACTTTAGCCTTTGAATAGCAAAAGCCCCAAATATCACTTCTCTAACTGGCTTCCTTGCTTCTCAGCCCTATTCTCCCCACAAATCACCTTCTCCTGAAACTTATTCAACTTCTGAATTGGTTTCAAGATGATTTTACTGTCTACTCTGAACACTAGATGGCTCCATCTCAATGGGACCTTCACAAAAGTCTTCCACTGAAATACGCTAATAACACTCTCAACTTCTATACGCTTTCCTTCCCAGTCTGCTAACCACTTTCAGAGTCACATTTCATTTGCTTCTGAACCTCACTCTATAAATGTCAGAGATTAGAACCCCATTTTCTAGAGTAAGAAACAGACATTCAGGGAGGTGAAATGGCTTGCCTGAGGCCATTAAGAAACAGACATTCAGAGAGGTGAAATGGCTTGCCTGAGGCCACAGAACTGACAGAACCAGGTAGGAGGAGGCTGATCTACAATCTAGATGAAAAGTCAGGGCTTCCCCTGATTCTAGGAGACTTCAGTTTTGGGGGATTTAGATAACCTGCATTAGAATCATATGATTACAGGTGATTCATTTCATCTGTGAAAAACACATTCCTAGCCCCTACCCAGATCCACTGAATCAGGCCAGCAATCTGCCATGGAAACATCAAAGGAGGAGAAATAAAGGCAGAAACCAGGCTCTCACAGCAATGATAGCATGTAATTCTTAACCTACTTGGTATGCATTATCATCTCAATTTACAAAGGAGGAAGCTGAGGCTTAGAGACGTAGTAGCGGAAGTGAGATTTGAACCTTAGCTTGTCATTTAAGTGAAATGCACAGCAGCTCCATTTTGCAGTCAGAAAGACCTGGTTCCTACCCTAGCGCTCTACACATAGGCATTTTTAATGCCTTTGGGAAAGTAACTTCACCCTTATAAACCTCAATTTCTTCATCTGAAAATAATAGTACCTACAACCTCACAGGGCTATCATGAGGATTAAATGAGATTATTCGTGTGCCTGGCACATGGTAAGTGTCTGTTATTACCATTTGGTTCCTGCCCTGAAAGACAAATCACAAAGTCCGGATACCAGGTCCTGATTTCTTCGGAAGTACTCTCTTTCTTCTCCATACACCCAAAGCACAACTGCACACAAGGCCCAACTGATGCTGCTGACTGATCAAACCACCACCCTCCCTCAAACAAAACAACACATTTCCACGACAAGACTGGAAACGTGACTCACAATTCCATTTGCACAAACTCCAATTCCACTAAATCTTATTCCATCCAAAGGTATGTACAGCTGGAAGTGAGCATTTCAGAAATAGAAACCTTTCTCTTGGGGCTTCACTCAAAACCAGAACAACACATTCCAAACACTAACCAACTGGGAACTAAGGCTAAGAAAAAGTCCCATGGGATTTGAAGACATTAGGTAGGTCCCTGCTATAAGGGCCTTGCAGTACATTCAGCATCCTCTGGGACGGAGGGCTCACATCTCTCTTCCTTACCCTGGATCCCCAGTGCCTGGCACAAAGCATGACATGCAGCAGGTGCTCAGGGAACACTGCTGCACAGTAAGGTGACCCCTTCATCATCTCAGATACATCCCAACACCACAAGAGAATCACTCACATCCTTGACTACAGGGTAAAAATAAGAATTTTCAACAGGAGAGGTGCAGTTCTAGAGCACTGTGCCAAGAGAAACGTACAGCCTCTCCTGCCCTGTTTTTGGATGTTCATACTTTTCAATCTGTGGAGTAAATTCAGCTGGGAACAGCTGGTAAGCTACTCCAGAAACCACCACTTTCTGACTTCTTCCAGTTCCAGAATTATAGTCAATAGAGGGACAAGGAGAAGGAAAGTTTTCATCCAAGAGAAGCAGGACAGCATTGCTGGATTTTGTTTGAGCCCTGTGACAAGCTTCTAATATACCTACGATTTTAACCCATTCCCGTACTGCCCAATCTGAGTAGACTCAGGTGTTCGCTTGGCCGACTTCCCAAACTGGATCACACTGGCAGCATCACCTGAAAGGGCAGACACAAGAGAAAGTGAAAAGTTTGCATTTCTTTCCCAGGGTCCTCAAAGTCAAAGGTCTGAGCCTTGTTAAATCCAAGCAGGGGTGTGTATCTGCTGAAAACCTCTCTCCAAGGAAATTCACCACCATGAAGCACATGGAGGCACAGCTTTGCCTGGCCTGTTGGTACCTCTATCACTGTGACCTATGTTCTATTCCCAGAATGTGGTAAGACAGCTAGCAGAGGCATCTGTAGGTCCAGCTCGAGAATGTTGTGCAAGCTGATAAATACAACGCCAAGAGACAGGTAATCTGATTGACTTAAGATTGCCTTTCAGATCCTATCTCCCATGTTAGGACAAGACCTGGCAAATACATTAGTAGAATTAAGCCTGAGATGTTGCAACAGACTTCTTACTCCCCAGGTGGATCTTCTAGACATAACATTGGAGGCAACAGAAAAACAAGTTCACACAATAAGTATTTTGTAAAAATGGTTACATCGCACCCCCCCACCCCCCAAAACAATAATCTCATCACTTACTTGGATCCATTCCTGCTCCATCATCCAAAAAGCAAAGCATAAATCCTCCTCGAAGGTCCTCTCGTCTTTCTGTAAAAGAAGCAGCTGCCATTACTGGGCCGTTACCCACCACAGGGTGGCAACATGCCTATGATCAGAAGGCAGATCAATGTGAAGCTTGGTCCAAAAAGGTCAGGTCAAGCCTAAACTTTCTACGCTGGTGTGAATTAAACTTCAGGGTCCTTGAGGTTGCAAATTCCCATCCAAGGTTCTCCAATGTTTTCTAGATCATGACAAAGCTTGGGAGAACCTTTGAAGGCAGGAATATCTGGTCCAGCATCTAATCATACCCACTACCACTGAATATGCACATACCTCACACATATCTCAATCATCCTATCCTTCTGCTCACTCCACCTGGATTACTATCACTTCTGCCCTATGCCATAGACCCCAAGCACTAAAGTACTCCAACTACCACACACTGTACTTTATCAATACTGCTCAAACTCAACAGGATGCCTCCTTTGTGAATTAAGTCTGGGGTATCCTTCAAAGTGATGAAACCAGACATGGTATGGGCACAGCAGTGGAAGCTGCTATCTAAAAGATGAAGTACTGTGTCTATACATGACCATCCCTAGGCTGACTGGCATTCTGGGCTATCTGCATTTACTGTCATATCCCCTGCTAGCTATGGTCCTTGAAAGGGCTCCCCATCCCAACAGTGAGAAGGCACATGGTACAACGTGGAGGTGCCTTGTTCCTAGCTGGACCTGCCTGATGGGAAGAAGGAATGGTCCTTTGACAATAAGATGCACAGCAGCTGTGGTGGGGTTTCCTGGCCAACAGAAAAGGAACACAACAAACTACGGCTGCCATTCTAGTGAAAAGAACGTCTTCTCTCAGCAGTTGTCTTCTGCAGCAGAAAGTGGTTAACTGAAAGTGGTCTGGGTCCAAGCATGTCATGGTCAATGGAGAAGCGATTCCCAAATATGGAAACAGGCTATACTAGCTTCCAAGGTGCCTTTTGACCCAATGATGAGGACTAGGTGAGCAAAAGAGAAACCAGCCTTGGAATCAAGGAAGTTGGTAGACACAAAGAAGAGAAGGATGTAAGGCAGAGGTATAGGGAGGAGACCCACACAAGCCAAGCAAGCCAACTTCCCATATAGATGCTATTCAGTCTACTGACTGGCACAGGGATAAAGGTAGCATTTCTAAGAGGAAAGAGGTCTGTGTAAGGTATTACAAGGGCAAGCCCAAGGCTGCTCTGCAGCCTGGTCCCTGATGATTTCGGAATCTCCCCCAAGCTTCAGTTAACCAATTTTGTACAACTATCTAAGCTGAGAAATCTGTTTTAAATGCTCTTTGTCCTTTCTTCAGGCTAAAAATTCAAGTGAGTAGGGACTGCCCTCTGTCAAATAGACTTATTAATGTAAATTAAAATGCTATTTTTTTTTTTTTTGAAATGGAGTCTCACTCTGTCGCCCAGGCTGGAGTGCAACGGCGTGATCTCGGCTCACTGCAACCTCTGCCTCCCAGGTTCAAGCGATTCTCCTGCCTCAGCCTCCAGAGTAGCTTCTGTAAGGCTATAAACCACAGAGATTTTCAAGTACCACTCAGTGTTCAGGAAGCTGAACATTAATTACAAGTGCTTCTTGAAAGTACAAGGGTGAGGATCTTCCTGGAAGTACTATTGGTTAGATAAAATCTCTCCTGGTGGCAGTGCCTCTAATCAGAGTCTGGGGAATCCAAATGAGACGTGGCAATCAAGAATAAGTACAATAAAAGTCCAAAAAGGCTTCAAAATTTCCATCTGGAGGAAGCCAAGTGTCATAAGGAGACTCAAACTGGGTCAGGTACAGAGAATGGTAAAAGCAGCATTCTAAACCTAGCCAAGAGCCATTTGCTGTACACTACAGCCGCAAAATGTGCATGAAGACTCTGCTTTGGGATCTAGAAATTGATTCAAGCCAAGCACCTCTGAAAAGTCCCCAAGGACTACTGGCATTCTTTGGACACTGCCTAAGAAGTTACTTTCTAGGCTCTTGTGTTAGGATAGAACTCTTAGGCTGCTTTAGCACACAATCATCACTTAACAGTGGGGCTGGTATCCTTTTCTGGCTCAAGGACTTCATTTCAAAGCTTTTTCGTGTAGTTTAAAGGGTAAGAGATGACACTGGGGGGATCCTCCTGGCTACATAGTAACTGACAGCCTATAAATGGCTAGTAGTGTCTAGGTCCATGGCCACATGCAATACTGCCTCAGGGCCAAGAAAGACTAAGACAGCATTGACTTCTTCAACTTTGTAAACAGACAGTGTGGTCTCTTCACCTTGTTCAAATGCTTATGCCAATCACTTGTTTATTTAATGACTACTTAGTGATCAGCTCTTCTGTGCCTGGTTATGATGAGGACAAGAGCAGTGAACAGTACATATGCGATCACTGTCTTCATGGAGCTTACATCTAATGGATTCTACTGCCTGCAGCAGATAAGCTAGGAAGTAAAGGACAGGAGGGTTTAAGCTGAAGGAAGCTTAGAAAAGTATTGGCTAGAGCAAAATGTAGTATGGGTAAGAATTATCCAAAGAGCTTGTGAAAATAGATTCTGGGCTCCCCCTGGATAGTCTGGGTACGTCTGAGGTGGGGCATTCGCATTTCTAACAAGTTCCAAGATGATATTGACAACATCTGTGGATGGACCACCTTTTGAGAAGCACTAAACTAGAGCAAGCAAGAACTCGAAGGCGTCCCTGCTCAAAACTATCTCCTCATATATTCCACCATAGAGATAGATTCCTATCACCTGATATTTAATCAGTCAACTGAGTGATATCTGAAGCCTCCAAAGATAAAGGAAGGGGAATTCTGGATAAAGAAGAGTCTAAGCAGCTGGGGGTTGTATGTTCCCCGCCTCCCATCACACATCTTGAAAGTAAGAGAAGGCAAAGCCGAACTGCCTGCTTTGCAGCTGTGCTTCATATCCTGGGAACAGCTCTGTAAGACTGTCAAAGCCAATCTGAAAGTCTGCACATCTCCCAGAATGGCCAAGTCTGGCTTCTGCAAGCCAGACATTCTTCATCTAACTCCCACTGGGAAGAATAAAGAAAGAAAGCAGGAAAAGACAAGAGATGTCAAATGGAGCTATACATCCAAAAGTCAAAGGTGATAAAATAATGGTGTCCCCAGGAGAGGCTGCAATAAAATGACATCCAAGTTCTTCATCATACTCTGCAATCTGTTTGAGCAGTATTAATTGCAGTTTCATTTGCTCCAATTTTCCATGTGTTAATCATTGCCCTGGCATCACGAAAAGGATCTTTCTTCCAAGGAGGTGGCACTACCTACCCCAGAAGGTCAAGAAAGTCAACAAAAACAGTCTGCTTATGACAGGCATATTATGGTCTATAATAATAATCCAACTAATAATAATATGCTTTGGGTAAATGAACACCTCTACACTTTGAGAGGCTGGCTCCTTTTTTGCCCTTTTTAGGTTTAAAAATGGTCTTTAAATGTGACTTTGTGGTGACTTCAAACTACATCTGATGTTTGGAAAGATTTCCAAGTCCAGTTATCAATCAGTTTCAGAAGTGGAGATAAGAAAATACTTTCCCCCATGAACTAACAACAAGAACTTTATAGTATTAAGATTATTACTGGCCAAGCGCATCGGCTCAGCCTGTAAGCCCAGCACTTTGGGGGGCCAAGGCAGTCAGATTACTTGAGCTCAGGAGTTTGAGACCAGCCTGGGCAACATGGTGAAAAAATATATATACAAAAATTAACCAGGTATGGTGGTGTGTGCCTGTAGTCTCAGCTGCTCGGGAGGCTGAGGTAGGAGGATCACTTGAGCCCGAGAGGTGGAGGTTGCAGTGAGCCTAGATAGCACACTGCATTCCAGCCTGGGTGAAAAAAAAAGATTCCACGGACTGATTTCTCCTGTTGAATGTGTTAACAAGGCCCTGTGGTAGAAAAGTGTAGGGTTAAAGATCCCTTAGCCAAGAATCCCAATCTCCTGGTACTTGAAGTAAATCAAGTCTTTTTCCAAAATGCTATGGTGCTTAGTGCTTCTATCACACCATTTAATCCTTAACTGTCTTGACTGTTCCCTCAAGATCTAGTTATTGTTCTCTAATTATCCATAGTGCATTAATTGTCTCTCCAATTAAAGACTAAGTTCTTAAAGCAAAGACCCCCATCTCCTCCTCTCTGGACATTTCCCAAAGCATAACAGGAGTTGTACTGAGCACAGAATAAAGACACACTGGGTCCTTTTTCATTTAAATTGAAATCCAACTTCATTCTGAGTGTCAGGAACTAAACTTCCTTGCTGAAATTTACCCACCAAATGTAGTAGGAGACAGCAGAGATGATCTTTTTTAAAAAACGTCTTCCAAGTAGACTTGACCATTACGATTTGTACCTTCAACATCACTTGGAGAAGAGGCCCATTCTCTGCTTTAGCATCTGTGCATTGATTAAATAAGCCCTATTTTTCCAGCGGTAGCTGTTACCATTCCTGAGAAAGCACACTCAGATGTAAGATACATGCTTTGGCTTGGAAAGGCACCTCCATCTGGCCTGAGCATTTTTTTTTTTTTTTTTTTTTTTGAGACGGAGCTTCGCTCTTGTTGCCCAGGCTGGAGTGCAATGGTGCGATCTTGGCTCATGGCAACTTCCACCTCCTGGGTTTAAGCGATTCTCCTGCTTCAGCCTCCCGAGTAGCTGGGATTAGAGGCATGCACCACCACACCCGGCTAATTTTGTATTTTTAGTAGAGACAGGGTTTCTCCATGTTGGTCAGGCTGGTCTCAAACACCCGACCTAAGGTGGTCCGCCTGCCTCGGCTTCCCAAAGTGTTGGGATTACAGGTGTGAGCCACCACGCCCAGCCTTGGCCTGAGCATTTAGTAATCATCTTCTAACATTCTTTTCCTGTGTGCCCCTATTTCCTGTTACTTTCTTCTAGAGAGAAAAGAAGCCTTATTTTTACCACTTTGGCAGAGCCTTTTGAACAAAAGGCTTTCAGAATTGAAGCAGTACAGCTGACTTTTAGCTGCTCTGAGGATTTTCTTTGCTCCAAAGTATAGCAGACATGAGAAATTCATCAAATCTGGGGCAGATTCTTCATAATTATATGACATTAGTGGTTCTGAGAATTACTACTTAGTTGTGTGCTTGTTCCCATTCATCAAAAGGGTCCATGAAGAGGGGTTATTTCATTCCCATGTAAACATACAGACTTCTCAGAACCTAGTTCATGCTACTCAAAATATCACCTCACACATTTCAGAGGATTTCAGAAAAGTCTGTCAGAAAAAAACACATCACACTAGTCGAATTGTATTTAAAAGCTGTCTTCCGGCCAGGTGTGGTGGCTCACGCCTGTAATCCCAGCACTTTGGGAGGCCGAGGCAGGCAGATCACCTGAGGTCATGAGTTTGAGACCAGCCTGGCCGACGTGGTGAAACCCCGTCGCTACTAAAAATACAAAAAATTAGCCGGGTGTGGTGGTGGGCGCCTGTAATCCCAGCTACTTGGGAGTCTGAGGCAGAATTGCTTGAACCTGGGAGATGGAGGTTGCAGTGAGGCAAGATCGTGCCACTGCACTCCAGCCTGGGTGACAAGGTAAGACTCCATCTCAAAAAAAAAAAAAAAAAAAAGCTGTCTTCCTCCATTCTGCTTTCAAATTTTTAGTATTCAAATGACTAAAAAAGGTGCTAGTACAAATACCAGGCAGAAAGCAAACTATTAAAATTAATGAGTTAATTAATTAAAAGGCCAATGACTGTTGCACTCACTCTAGGAAAAGGAGAAGATCTTACTACAAAACAGCAGAGCCAAATAAGCAAAACGAAATAGGATGTTGACAGGTGTAAATTCCAAGCCAAGCAGCCTTCCTTCCTGACACCTCTGAGAACAACTCAGCAAACCTCAGAGCCAATCCAGTTACTGCTATTTTCCGCAACCGATACCAGCAATTCTCCAAGTTGAGACTAGTGCTCACCAAGAGTTCAAAACAAAGTGGCCTCCAACAAGATCTCTCCTTGGCTGCAGGTACCACAAACCTCGTTCACCTATTAACGCCTACCAGTAAAATAACTTGGTCATTTCACTCTCTACTGTTCCACTCCATCACTTCCATAACTCTACTAGTAGCTATTTACATAGATTTGGATACCTTGTGTTAGTTTCTTGAAACCAATATTCTTGGTTTCTATGCCTGACCAGAGCTGACCATACCTGACTACGGCTGCCCCTTTTCTACCTATGACCTGGAATAATCATGCCATCTTCCCAGGCTCCCGAATCCAGTTATTTCCCACTCAATTCTTCTTAGGCACAGTAATAAATGCATTAAGATGAACTAGACATTAGAAGGACTAAAGCCTGACTTACCTGCATAAATATCTATTCTGGTGGCATCAGCATCTCTGCAAAGTGAAAAGAAAAGAATCATGTGAATTAATATGAAATATCAACCATCAAAATGCATAGTGATTTGAGTAGAATGCAGAGTATTTTGAGTCTGTTTTCAGGAAGCCATACAGAAATTCTATAGACATTTAGAATTTTTTTTACTTTTATACTTGACAACACAATTTTCTTTATATATCTGTAAAACATTTCTGAAGCCCCAAATTATTGAAGATGATCACATGACATGGGGCCTGGATATTTTTTTTAAATCCTGATTTTGTGGTAAAAACATCTATAGGATAAGCAAGAATATTTCCCTTTATACCCTAAGAAATGATTCAAATATGTTTTTCTCACTCATTTGATTGCAATCATAAAAAGATGTTCCAATAACTTGTCCACTTTTTCTTCTCGTCAATATTTTAAGAAAAAAGGAAGACAATAATCTCCCACAAAACCTGTGAAAAATCACTTCTCGTGGTATACACACTGCAGTCAGCAGACTGATTCCTGAGCCCATAATCTTAACCTCCCTAAACCTGAAAGGAAGTTGGGATACCCCTGCCCCATTAGACTCCAACCATTGGCTGAAATCATACAGATTCAGTTATCAATGAAGACTTCCATAAAGGCTCAGAAGTAATTTAGTCCAATTCTGCCAACTGCAAAGAAAATGAAACCGTTTCACTGGTTTTACATGCAAAAAATCCACACAGCTCTACATATACCTATTCTCAAATATCTAAAACATTTTCAAATATGAGAGATACTGGCAAAATGTATACACAAGTAGGAATACATACTCCTAAGAATCTCTATTTTACCATATGATACACAAAAAAAGCAGCCTGCCACCGCACATCATGGTCTCACTAAATTAACAAGTGGCAAATTCAAACACAGTTCCATTAACCTACAACACTTTTTAATTGAATGGAAAAATGATGAGTCAACCAGGATTGAAACAAAACAGGAGTTTTCTGGTTAAACAACTAGCACACTTCCATGAGCAGTCCAGCTAATAACAACAACAAAAGTAATTAGAATAAGTTTATTGTATACACAGAGGTAAAGAGGAAATTATCAGCGAGCACATTAACTGGAGATCTGTTTGAAAGTACTTCCGCTGTCAATTTTCATCCTCCTCTTCCTTCCTTAGTCATCAAAACCTAGTCAGTAAATGTGTCTGAATTTTATGTTTGCATTCAGGAATAAGACTAAGACACTATTTTCCTAATTATAAACAGAATCTTGATATGGACTTGGATTTACATCAGAACTAACCCAAACTTCTATTCAGTCTTACACAGTAACATTTACATGTTTCTATCACTAAGAACTCAGTATAAGACAGTGCTGACCAATGATTCCTTCCAAGCACAGCTGCTAACAATGAAAGACACTGTGATCATTTAGTTATCTGACAAATATACAATTTGAGAAGACACAGAACTTTGGCATAGTTTTAAAGACATTAGATGGTGTACTATCCTGCTAGCACAAATTAAATCAGAGCCTGCCTGTCTCATTAATATGATTCCTAAGTGTCTATCTTAATTCCTTGCATTTTACTACAATTATCTTGCTCTAATACACAAGGGAAGTGGTTTTGGAGGTGATAACTCACTATTTTTAGGCTAGAACACAAAGAACAATTAGTGAATTTAAGTAAGAAAGTGGAAGTTATCAACTAATGTGCTATTAAAAATATTATTTTTAGTAAGAGGCATCCTAGGAGTTACAGAATGTCTACATTCTACAGAAATGTCTTCCTCTCAAGTCTTCAGAGAGCAAAGGTCACAGCTACCTAAAGTGTTTCCACTTCAAGCACAGATTGTATGCCTGAAGACTACATACCTTGCATTATCAACCAGTTCAGCAAGGGCACCAAACAAGAATTCGTGAGTGGTTCTGAAATGATAAATACTAAAAGTCAGCAAAAGAATTATTGAAGTTATAATTCCTAATAAAAAGCCATGGTTATAAAATATTTAAGTTTTTTGAAAAAAATCTTAAAACCACCATTTGCATTGTTTTTATACTACTCAAGGCTTTCCAGAGCTCCCCAACTCCCCTCAATTGTTAATCTTTAACAAGTCCTGCCATCTATTCAGAAATGATTATTCTTCCTATTTTGAGTTGGGAAACCCACCCTGAAGCATTGAAAGAGTCCTATGTGTAGTAACTGCTAAAAGTGTTTTTCACTATTCATATCCTGCCTAGAAAAATGCCTGTATATTTTATTTTTCATTGCCTTAACCAGTGGTCAGTTTCTGCATATCTCAGAGCAAGAATTTTAAGGATATATCTTATGCATAAATATTGAACTTTGTTTTTTGTTTTTTCTTTGAGACAGGTTCTCATTCTTGTCACTCGGACTGGAGTATAGTAAGTTTTGAATAACATGATAACTGTGTATTTACTCAATCCAAACTTTGAGCAGCCTCCCAGAGGAGATGACCACTGGTTCCCCTCCTTGAAGGGGTTAATGTTAACAGGGGCCCTAGGCAACCACACCAAGCAAGCTCTTGTCATCCTAGAAGGAATTGTTGGAAAAGGTCTTCGATTACTTTCTTTAATGGAGGGAAAGTTCTGGTTTTAGCCAAAATCTGAGAAAGTCATAAAATGAGTTATTCTCTTTACCTTCTCTTTCAAATGGGATATTTTTGCTTATAAATTACACAAAAGTGTATGAGTTTCCTTTCTTCACTGGTAGATGACGCACAAGTATTGGTAAAACAAAATGCTAACAAGTTATACATTGAGCATGTGCAATTTACACTGTTTAATTTGTGCTCTTTTCCACAATAGTCCTCATGAGATATCAAATTAGGATGTGTCCACATAGAACCACCTAAAAAAAAAACACTTGACTTCTGATTAAATACAATATTAACCCACATAATACATGACCATCAATTTTTCAAAAATATCCATGTTACTCTGACTTTTTTGCATAGAGTTTCAGCCAAAGTAAAAAGTTTCAGCCAATTTTCAGTTAAAGTAAGAATTTTTAAATGAAATATATCAATAGTAAATAACCAGCATCTAGGATCTCTGATCGCTTACCATATTGCAAACAAAATGTAAAACATTTATTAAATAAATATCCATAACTAAACTCTCCAGGAATATTGTTTTTTCTTCCTCAAGTAACTCCAAATTTTTACAAATGCAATTTTTTTGTTTTGTTTTGTTTTTGAGACAGAGTTTCGCTCTTGTCGCCCAGGCTGGAGTGCGATGGCACAATCTTGGCTCACTGCAACCTCCACCTCCTGGGTTCAAGTGATTCTCCTGCCTTGGCCTCCAGAATAGCTGGGATTACAGGCATGCGCCACCACACCCGGCTAATTTTGTATTTTTAGTAGAGAGGAGGTTTCACCATGTTGGCCAGGCTGGTCTCAAACTCCTGACCTCAGGTGATCTGCCTGCCTTGGACTCCCAAAGTGCTGAGATTACAGACCTGAGCCACCACACACGGCCTACAAATGCAAATTTTGAATTAAACTATCACTTGGTGGAATTATAGGAAGACCTTTCCCCCAACAAGATCAGTGAATATATGTGCTGCTAATCCAAAGGCAGCACGACAAATATGTTATAACCAAAAGAAATTTTATCATCAATTTACCTAGGAAATAGAGTTCAAATTCTTCTGGGTAAAATCTAATTAATTATACTACAGGGAAAAGACAGATTTATTTATTTATTTATTTATTTTGAGACGGAGTTTTTCCTCTTGTTGCCCAGGCTGGAGTGCAATGGCGCAATCTCCGCTCACTGCAACCTCCGCCTCCCGGGTTCAAGCAATTCTCCTGCTTCAGCCTCCTGAGTAGCTGGTATTACAAGCATAGGCCACCATGCCCGGCTAATTTTTTTGTATTTTTAGTAGAGACGGGGTTTCTCCATGTTGGTCAGGCTGGTCTTGAACTCCCAACCTCAGGTGATCCGCCCGCCTCGGCCTCCCAAAGTGCTGGGATTACAGCCATAAGCCGCCACACCCGGCTGGAAAAGACAGATTTCTCAAAAAAAAAAAAAAAAAAAGTCCATAAAACAGCCATATTTTGTTGTTGTTGTTGTTATTTTGTTTTTTTGTTTTGAGACAGAGTCTCACTGCGTCGCCCAGGCTGGAGTGCAAGCGGCGCAATCTCGGCTCACTGCAACCTCTGCCTCCAGGGTTCAAGCAATTCTTCTGCCTCAGCCTCCCGAGTAGCTGGGATTACAGGCGCCTGCCACTATGCCCAGCTAATTTTTTAAAATATTTTTAGTAGAGACAGGGTTTCACCAAGTTGGTCAGGCTGCTCTTGAACTCCTGACCTCAGGTGATCCAGCCGCCTCAGCCTCCCAAAGTGCTGGAATTACAGGCGTGAGCCACCATGCCCGGCCCATATGTTTAATTATTAAAAATATCTGTCTTGTGCCCCCTCAGTAAAAATTTAAAAAAAAAATTTAAAGAACAAAAAATATTTGTCTCTAGAATTATCACTTTAAATTCTTTAAATTACCAACTAAATAAACAAAAAGTATTCTGTAAACTACCCCACTAACTAGGGAGAAATAAGCTTAAAAATTAAGGTGACTTGCCAAAGGTAATGTTGGTTAAAAGTGAATCTAACATTTGGTTTCAAACTTTCAACCAGTCATTTTCCTATCAAACATATAAGTGACTTAGAAACTTACAAAGTGAATTCATTTTATATACCCTAAATATTTTTGAGGATTGTTATATAGAAATATAAAATGACCAATTTTATCCCAATTCTTCTCATTTCAACATGAGTTTGTACTTTTAACGTAAATCAAGGAATCTCAAAAATAGAGCTACCAGAAAAAAACAAGAGCACAACCATAGTAAGTATGAGACCACATCTTGCATCAGAATGTACTAACTTCAGAATAAATAATGAAGTTTCCAGTCTTTGGTAGTGAGAATGGTCAATCTGAATATTCTGGAAAACTAATTTTGACACCCTCTGCCATTAGGACAAGAAAACCAAAACAGAAATTTCAACTGCTTCTTAGCAATACATATTTTCCGATAGCATCCCACAAGAATGAGAAATTTAGAATGCAATAAGCAGATCTCCAAAGGGCAAGCACAAAGCACCTGCCACACAGTGCTTAGAAATGTGCCTTGTGTGGTGCCTCACGCCTATAAACCCAGCACTTTGGGAGGCCGAGGTGGGTGGATCGCTTGAACTCAGGAGTTTGAGACCAGCCTGGCCAACATGTTGAAACCCTGACTCTACTAAAAATACAAAAAAATTAGTCAGGCATGGTGGCGGACACCTGTAATCCTAACTACTTGAGAGGCTGAGGCAGGAGAATCGCTTGAACCCGGGAGGTAGAGGTTGCATGCAGTGAGCCGACATTGTGAGATCGCGCCACTGTACTCCAGCCTGGACAAGAGCAAAACTCCACCTCAAAAAAAAAAAAAGAAAGAAAGAAAGAAAGAAATGTGCCTTGCATATTTAGAACTTTCAAAAAATTCTAAATGGGCAGGGTGCAGTGGCTCACACCTGTAATCCTGGCACTTTGGGAAGCCCAGGCCAGCAGATGCCTTTAGCCCAGGAATTTGAAATCAGCCTGGGCAACACGGCAAAACCCCCATCTCTACAAAAAGTAGAGAAATAAAAATAAATTATTATTTATAATAAATAAATAAGCCAGGTGTGGTGGTGTACACCTGTAGTTCCAGCTACTTGAAAGGCTGAGGTGGGAGGATGGCCTGAGCCTAAGAAGCGAGGGTTGCAGTGAGCCAAGACTGCGCCACGGCACACCAACCTGGCTGAAAGAGCCAGACCCTGTCTCAAAAAAAAAAAAAAAAACTAATGGTCTTTGTTGTTCCACACAGTCTCAATGCTGTTCCATGCATACATACATATTTCAGATAAGCTAACAGTAGCCTTTACAATGTAGCCAAAGGGTACTTTTGTGATGGCAGTACATATCATAAAAGAAGCCTTTTGTGACCACTGTTGGTAAAGTCAGAGATAATACTCAGAATCTCTTCCAGACCTCCAACTGATTAAAGATAGATCTTCCAGATGCTAAAATCAAGAGTTCTAAATATTTCTTAAAATCATAAGAATCAAAATTATACCAACTGCACAAATTCTTTTTTACCAAATAATATTCCAAGAGTACACTCATTGCTAGCTAGCATTTGGGATAGAGTAAACATCAAAAGAAATTCTTTTTTTTTTTTGAGACAGAGTCTCGCTCTGTCACCCAGGCTGGAGTGCAGTGGTGCGATCGGCTCACTGCAAGCTCCGCCTCCCGGGTTCAGGCCATTCTCCTGTCTCAGCCTCCCGAGTAGCTAGCTGGGACTACAGGAGCCCGCAGCCACGCCCAGATAATTTTTTTGTATTTTTAGTACAGACGGGGTTTCACCATGTTAACCAGGATGGTCTCAATCTCCTGACCTCGTGATCCACCCACCTCGGCCTCCCAAAGTGCTGGGATTACAGGCGTGAGCCACAGCACCCGGCCTAGAAATTCTTTTCTTCACAGACCTAAACATCCTTTGCATGTGATCCAAGAAAGGTGAACTGGAAAAAGACAAAGATTTTTTGAAAATTCGTTCACTTTCAACTGATTATGGCTTTTTTTTTTTTTGAGAGATGGAGTCTTGCTCTGTTGCCCCGGCTGGAGTGCAGCGGCATGATCTCAACTCATCGCAACCTCTGCCTCCCAGTTCAAGAGATTCTCCTGCCTCAGACTCCCGAGTAGCTGGGATTACAGGCACAAGCTACCATGCCCGGCTAATTTTTTGTATTTTTAATAGCGATGGGGTTTCACCGTGTTGGCCAGGCTGGTCTGGAACTCCTGGCCTCAAGTGATCTGCCCACCTTGGCCTTCCAAAGTGCTGGGATTACAGGCATGAGCCAACCGCGCCTGGCTGATCACGGCTTTTATATCATTTGTGTCACAGTATAAACAGTTTGCAGCTTAGCATTTCCAGGGACAAATTCACCTGTAAATTAGCTTGTTATGTAAGGAAAATGGTCTCCCTATTTACATTCATCCTGAATGTAAACCAATAGATCATCCATAGGCCCATCACACAGTATACCTTTGCTGAGTTCCTAGACGTGCTGACAATAGGTAATTGCCTTAATTGCTAGAAAATAAAGCTGAGAAATTCTAGAGCAACTATTTTACATTGAAATGGCTTTAATATATTTAAGATATGAGCCTGCTCAACAGCCTTAAAGTAATAAGTAATCTAAGTCTCTGAGTTGACAGGCTCCTCTACATTCACTTCACATACCCATAAAACTCAGAAATAGGGCTGGGTGCAGTGGCTCAGATCTGTAATCCCAGCACTTTGGGAGGCCGAGGCAGGCGGATGATGAGGTCAAGAGATCAAGTCTATCCTGGCTAACACGGTGAAACCCCATCTCTACTAAAAATACAAAAAATTACCCAGGCATGGTGGCATGCGCCTGTAGTCCCAGCTACTTGGAAGGCTGAGGGAGGACAATCACTTGAACCTGGGAGGTGGAGGTTGCAGTGAGGCGAGATGGTGCCACTGCACTCCAGCCTGGGTGACAGAGCAAGACTCCATCCAAAAAAAAACCAAAAACAAAACAAAACAAAAAACCCAGAAATATATGCCCAAGATGTTAAGTGACTAAATGTGCCAACAAAAATAAATAGCAGACATCTTATATCTAAGCATCCTGCTCTATCAGACCACTTAGCAGTACTGCAAACAAAGTGACTTAATATACACATTTTATGCCAAAGGAACATCACTACCACCACTACATCTGAAGTAGAAGTCACAAAACCCACTACCAAAGAGAAGTAACAGCATGAAACTCCTTTTACTTAAAAACCCTAACATTTATCATCTCATACTAGCAACATCTGATGTTAAATTAACTGAAGACTTTCAGGTTATCACGAGAATTTATTTCCCAGGCCTGCTGTAAACCTTAAAAAGCTGAAGTAACCAACAGAATAACCATCAAAAGTTATCAAAGACCTGATACAAAAAAAGACAGATGTTCACTGTCTCCAAAAGATGCTCCAGAATTTCCTAAGAACTGATGTGCCTAATGACTAGCACCAAACAAGTTGCCACCACAGTGACCAACTTCTGGTTTATATAAACTATTATAGAGTAACACTCACCATTCACACAATGTTTACTGTGTACCACCGTATGAGCTAAGAACTTTACAAACATCATTTCATATAATCCTCGTAAAAACTGTCAGATTAGCCCCATTTTATAGTTGAAGAAACTGAGATTCAAGAACTTGACCTGTCCAAGGACACAGCCAGGAAACACTCAAGTCCAGGTTTGGCTGGTTTGCAAGCACACGGTCTTTTCACTGCACCACACTGATTTCCACACTTCTCATCTGGTCACTGCTTCTAAGTCTACATTTAATGAGAAGTAAGCAAAGGACCATTTATTTCCTAATTCGCAATACTGTAGATGTCAGACACCATGAAATGGTCTCGTGTTCCTAAGATTTTAACAGAACAAAGGAGAAGAGAGACAAATCTTCCCTTCTCTGAAGATGACTTACTGAACCACTTTACACACAGGTGGTTCATCTTCCATCTTTATGAGCTACAAGTCACATCATGTGAGAATTTTAAAATTTATTTTCTCTATAAATGAACTTCCAATCAGGTCACCACAATGTTTTAAAAATCTTCTGAAATTAGAAATAAAAAACTTATCTTGTTGGTTTAGGGTTTATACTGTCTTCTGGTAGGACTAATACATCAAAAAGGAGAACAACTTCTAAGGTCGAATTTGTGATCCAGGTAAGAAATTCCAGAGCTTCCAAAATGATACTCCAACCCTCAAATGTTCATGCAAGCAGGTGGTTCCAGTTCAACATGGGTAAGTCAAAGTCCCAGAAAATTCCCCAACAAATGACTTAACTGGTTTCTTTCCTTTCCTTGGCAGTGCCAAGTATCTATCAATAAGCTATAAAATAGCAAAGGGGGAAAAAGAAGGGAGAAATATCCCAGAGTCCTTAGAGATTCATTGAGATAAACTAAAATTGAAGACTTTTAAACTGTGAAGTATACCCTTTGCTTTATAGACAAGCAAATAGGCTCTTGAAGGTAAAACTGACTACAGTAGGCACTGCCTAATGGTTAAAAGCACCAACTACTGTGGCCAGATAAATCCCACTGTCTTAAATCTTGGCACCGTTTAAGTCTGCCACTTGGCAGCTATATAGCCATTACCATGTAATTTAATCTCTTTGAACCTCAGTTTCCTCAAATGCAAAATAGGAATAATCCTTATCCCAAAGGCTTCCTGTAAAGATTGCTTTGGACAATGTTTAAAATAGTGACTGATATGAAGCAATTAACTGTTGTTACTATTATTATCCCATAAAGTCTTTGGTGAAGCTGGAACAAGAACTGAAATTCTGAAGTCCAGTTCATGGTCTTCCAAGATTATCATAAAATCTGTAATTCCAGACTTACCATCATTCCAAAATTCAGAGCTGAGATAACCATTTATCAAACACAGTCATCCATGAACATTTAAGTGGCCTTCAACTGCTTGTTCTTAATATGGCAGTTCAAACATTAAAAAGGACACTAAAGTTTTTTCCCAAGGCTATGCTATCAACTAGCTGAATAATCACTAATCAGCAACCTCACCCAAGTGTGTTTCAGGGTCATCATACTTAAGTGTTAGAATTCAACCTAGGTGACTGCTACAGGCCGGCCATGGTGGCTCATGCCTGTAATCCCAGCACTTTGGGAGGCCAAGGTGGGTGGATCACCTGAAGTCAGGAGTTCGGGACCAGCCTGGCCAACATATAGTGAAACCCCGTCTCTCTAAAAAAATACAAAAATTAGCTGGGCGTGGTGGTGCATGCCTGTAGTCCCAGCTACTTGGGAAGCTGAGGCAGGAGAATCGTTTGAACCTGGGAGGTGAAGGTTGCAGTGAGCCAAGATTGCGCCACCCCACTCTAGCCTGAGCAACAGAGCAAGACTCCGTCTCTCAAAAAAATAACAAACTTCCTAAAAAAAATAAAAACAGGCTTTCACCATTTGACAGTTTGCTTCACTACTTGGCAAAATTTTATTCCCTTTAAAGGAAAAATAGAAATATTACAGACATTATGATATCACAAACATGTTGTCTTCTCCATCAAAAGCTAAAAACCATTGTACTATTACTACATAATGGAAGTCTATACTCTCGACTCTGAAGTGGGTTCTTCAGAGACTGGACCATTCATGTAGCTGCTCATCTCCTCTCCAGGTACTAGAATGTTAGAACACTTACCTTCATCTCAAAAGTAACAGGTGAATGTATTAAAACACTAAAGTTTTGACGCTACTGGACAGCCTCCAAGAGAGTGGGCATATGGATTAAACCTGAAACATTCCAGACCATGTTGGAGTGATTAGATTACTCCTTCATGAACTCAAGAACCATGAACACTGTATGTTTCTGTGGAAATTTTGGGGAAAGACTATCTAAATAGAGATATAAACAAGTTGCCGTTTCCTGTTTAGCATATACAAATAATATTGGATGTGAGCAATCTGCCAGGAAGATAATGCCAACTTCTGAAAAAATAAAAATTTTCTTCTTGAAAGTTGTCATTTAAATGTCTTCTGTTTTCTTGTTAGAAAGTAAACACTTGTTATAAACCTAACTGTTTAGGACGTTGTCACTACAGAGGGGAAACGGTTGATACTAAAATAGTCCAACATTTGGCGATCCAATAGAGCAGTATTTGTTGGATTCCTATAAACACTTGAATGAAACAACTCAACATATTGACTTCAAATAACTAAAGTTTGCATTTAGAAAATTTTGATCCAATAAACAAAAATCAGATTCTTCTGGATTAGCAACAAGTATTTCACTGATCTCAGTTCTTCAATACAGAGCTCAAGATATCCAGTGACACATTTCACTCCAGTGGGATACATCTCAAAAAGTGAAAAAGCAAAATTTTCTGGGGAAACGATTTCCATATAATATCAAGGAACGAGTTACTGGTTACCTCAGTGGCACCTAGAGGATACTTACGAATTTGTGTGCAGATATTCAAAGGTTAGCTGAGCTCGATTCAGACTGCTGTAATTTGTGAAAGCCATGACTGCAATAAGGTCTCCAGCCCTTCACCCGCTAACTGGGAAATATAACCTTATAATGATATCGATTTCCCAGGATTCTGTCCAGTAAAGCTTCAGTAAGTCTGTGCTCCTTAATGACAGTTAAAGTAACCTAGTAGCTATCCAAAATATATGCAGAGATGTTTAAAACTACAATTTCTTCAAGTGTTTTTTTTTAATCTTCTCAATGATTTATGATGTAATATTTTGGAAGGAACTATGTCATAAATCTGTAGCTTTAAGGAGCTTTTAGCATTAAGTTGCGATAGCTCAATTCAGACAATCTGAGTCTCGTGTGGATGGTCCTGAAGGAGATGGTCCTTGAGTGGGTGGTTTATGACTGCTCCATCTTCATGTTCTTCCAGCCTTTTTTGGTTCCCCGAAATTTCCTGTCAGGAAATTTACCAACGCGGAAATTTACCCACTTCTGTCAGAAAACTGATCAGCCATGTCTTCGCCACACGTGATGCCAGGATTCTTAAACAGGCCCAAGACCGGAGACCAAGATGTCGACGGAGTGTTATATGGCGCAAGTTGCAGCTTCACCACCTCCCAAGTGAAAAAGCTCCTAGGCACTCACGATTTCTTTTTTCAAAGCCGGACCAAACCCAGTTCAGGGTGGTGGTCAGATTACCTCACACTTGGCCCACATAAACACCTCACAAATGACCCGCCCACAGCACCTCGGGCAGGCCGCGCCCCGCCCCCACGTCCCTCAGACAACAGCCTCAGCCTCCCAGGCCCTTCCCGGGCCTCGGTCCCGTGGCCGCCTCCCCACGAAGAGGAGCTACTCCCGGCTTCCAAGGACCGGATCGAGGGCAGTGGCGAGCGCACCACCTGACCGGGCACTACCCGGATCTCACAACTGCCTTTGTCCCTCCCCGCGGAATTGGAACCCAACAGCCGCAGAGCGCTCTTGGAACCATGTGCTGCTGCCGCCTCCGCCGCCGCCGCCGCTGCCTCCGCCGCCGCCCGCGCGCCGCCCGCGCGCCGCGCTAGTTGAGATGGTGACAGGATTCAGCAACACGAAATTCGGCGTTTAGAGCTGCTCTGCCGCCGCCGTCACAGACACCACAGCCACCGCTTTGTCTCCGATAGTGCACACAGCCCCGGCCACCTCGCACACTCCCCGACGCCCCAAGCCCCCGAGGCCTCCGCGGAGCATTCAGCCAATCACAAAGCTGCAGCTCCTCCCGCCCCCGCCCTGATGTACAGCCTCCTGATTGGCGGGCTGCGTGTCCCCATGTGACCGGATCTTGGTTGGCCGGTCCCGCCCCTGTCACGTGACAGCGTGCGCCTCTCTTCCTGCTTTCCTGACCCTCTCCGCCATTTAAAGAAACAGTACCGGGGGCGGGCCGAGCGACGCAGCCGGGACGGTAGCTGCGGTGCGGACCGGAGGAGCCATCTTGTCTCGTCGCCGGGGAGTCAGGCCCCTAAATCGAAGAAGCCCTGGCGCGCCCTCCCCCCCTCCCGGGTCTGGTAGGGCGAAGGAACGGGCGTGCGGTCGATCGAGCGATCGGTTGGCGGCTCTTTCTCCTGCTCTGGCATCCAGCTCTTGGGGCGCAGGCCCGGCCGCCGCGGCGCGCGCCCGGTGGCCGTTGGCGCTCGCGCCGCGTCTTTCTTCTCGTACGCAGAACTCGGGCGGCGGCCTATGCGTTTGCGATTCGACGAGGAGTCGTCCGGGTGGTCGGCGGCGGCGGGCAGCTGCTCCGCCCCGCTCCGGGGGAGGCGGCGGCGGCAGCGGCCGCGGGATTTGGAGCGGCCGGGGAGGCGGGGGTGGCCGGGGCCGGCTTGGAGGCCTGGCGCCACCCTTCGGGGCCTGCAAGGACCCAGTTGGGGGGGCAGGAGGGGGCCGGAGGATGGTTGGTTGTGGGATTTCTACTTTGCCTTTTCCTCCTTATGCCGCCTTAGTGAGGGGCGGGAGCTCTGGCGGCAGCCCCGGGGTGGGGAGACGAGCTCCGGAGTCGGAAGAGCTGGGTTTTCTTCCGGGCCTAGCCACCAGTTGGCGGAGTGACCTTAGGCGAGTCACTCTGTAATTTGTCTGCGCCTCAGTTTCCTCCTCTGCCTATCAATGTGTGTGGGGTTGAAATCGCTTTGTAAACTATAAAGCGTGGGTGTACGTAAAGGATGGTTATTGTTTATAATTTTTTTTGAGTTGTAAGAAAACTTAGCAGTTCCCCAATCCTTGGGTTTTGAACCTGGGAACCTTGGATTGGAGTTGGGGATCCCCAAACTTCCTGAAATTGTGGGAATGTGCGGTTTGGGGGAATGATGGGAATTTGTGGGAATGTGCGTTTTAGGGGAATGATGATCCATCGCTAGCAAGTTTTCCAAGGGGGCTGTGACCCAGAAGAGTTAAGAATCACAATTTCTTCATGCTACAGAGAGGAAACTGAGGCCTAGATGTCATTTGGGACCCTTCACAACCATTTTGAAGCCCTGTTTGAGTCCCTGGGATATGTGAGCTGTTTCTATGCATAATGGATATTCGGGGTTAACAACAGTCCCCTGCTTGGCTTCTATTCTGAATCCTTTTCTTTCACCATGGGGTGCCTGAAGGGTGGCTGATGCATATGGTACAATGGCACCCAGTGTAAAGCAGCTACAATTAGGAGTGGATGTGTTCTGTAGCATCCTATTTAAATAAGCCTATTTTATCCTTTGGCCCGTCAACTCTGTTATCTGCTGCTTGTACTGGTGCCTGTACTTTTCTGACTCTCATTGACCATATTCCACGACCATGGTTGTCATCCATTACTTGATCCTACTTTACATGTCTAGGCTGTGTGGTTGGTGGTGAATAGGCTTCTTTTTACATGGTGCTGCCAGCCCAGCTAATTAATGGTGCACGTGGACTTTTAGCAAGCGGGCTCACTGGAAGAGACTGAACCTGGCATGGAATTCCTGAAGATGTTTGGGGTTTTTTTCTTTCTTAATCGAAAGTTAACATTGTCTGAAAAGTTTTGTTAGAACTACTGCGGAACCTCAAAATCAGTAGATTTGGAAGTGATTCAAAGCTAAACTTTTTCCTTGGCCCTCCTTGTGTTCTAATTGCTTGCAAGTGTAATACTAGGATGTCCAAGATGCCAGTTTTTGCTTCTTTGTTAGTTGTCAGCTGCTTTTATCAAATTTCAGGCCATTATCCAACAAACACTATAAAAATGTTTGAACAATTGGATTTCAAACATTTTCGTTTTGTGGAGTGGTGCTCACCAAGTGGTACAGCCCTAAGCAAGTGAACACAAACACATTTAAGTGTATTTTGTCTGATTAGATGTTAGCCAGTTATGCTATTTCATTCAAATGTCTGAAAAAATCAATTGACTATTCCCTTTTCCTAAAGGGCAGAGACAGATAATCTCACTTCCAGAGAAATGACTTGGAGAAAAAAAAGTGTTGGTCTTTTTGCTCTTTTGTAATTAAATCCGGATGTACCTCAAAAGACTTAAGACTGTGGTGATAAGATGCTTTCCTCAGCAGAAAGGAGGGAAAAAAAACAACTGGAACTCAAAGCTTGAAATTCTGTGGCAAAACATGAGATGTCCAGGATTGGAGGTTGAAAAGATTTCACTACAGTGTTCTGCAATAGTTGGAGCAGATAACTTTCAGTGTAGCCACAGCCATGGACTCCAGATTTCCAGATTTTCAAGACCTGGACCTGGAACCCGAAAGAGCTTGTCACGATGCGGCAGGAACACTGGAGGTAGATTTTTTTTTATTTTTGAATTTTGGGACTGTTGACCTTGCTGTGAGAAAAGAGACAACGACTGAGCAAGCACTACCACCAGCACTGTTACTGGGAATTAGAAGACCTGAGTTTCTGTCCAGACCCTCAGTGCAAACTGAGGATGCTCCATCCAAAGTGAATTATGGTACTTGCCATTTTCCAAAATGCCTTATCCTTTACCATCTCTGCACTTTTGTTCATACTCTCATTCTACTTTGGAACTGCTGCTCTGTGGCTTTTCATCTGTCAAAACTGCCATTTTCTCAGTATCCAACTCTTATGCCCTCTTTTCCATGAGTCTCCTAACTAGCCAGAATAGAGCTTTAAAGTTTTATGACATTTCGTTATGTATCCTCTATCTGTATACAAAATCCTGTAAAATAGTTACTTGCCTGCATTTACTGTCTTTGCAGATAGCAGACTCCTTGAAAGCAGGGTCCTTGTTTAGTGCATCTTTGCCCACATACACCACAACATATCAAGATGCATTTATTAGGAAGGAGGAGTTTAGAGAGCAGGCTATCAGAATAACCACTCAGTAAGTGTTTTCTTAATTGCTATGTGATAACTTACATTACTCTTAATGAGGAGAAAAGTCGCTAGATATGGATCATGTTTATGTTTTAATGTTTTTTAATTCTAAATTTTGATCTAGGGAGCCCTCAGACATAAGGAGAAACCAATATGTTGAATGATGGGGTATTACATACAGAAGGACCAAGACCTTATTTTCTCCTACTTAAGATGGAATCTTGTTAAGATGAAAGGACAGCTTTTTAAAAGGAGAAGGTCATAAGACAGTTTGAGGAAGGCATTGGAAGAGGAAGAGGGGCAATGTCTCCTTTGTTTTATTGTTGGTATATAAACTTAAAATCTCAGTTCTTTTTATGGCACTTGTGGAGCCACTTCCTCTCCTCACCAAAAAATGCCCAGTACCCTGAATCCGATCAAATTACTCTCCTAAAGTATAAGGCTTAGTTTCTGTGTGCTGCTTCGCGAGACAGTTCCCACAAATCGAGAGTGTTAATCAGACTTTTGTGTTTTCTTTTTTGGATTGCTGTTGTTTGTTTTCATTTATCATTTGTCTTTGCCTAAGCCAGGCTCATCAAGAATTAACAGCCATCAGGCTGCCGATGTGCTGACAGCAGACCCACTTAGAGTCCTGTGTTTGTAATTCCATGCATTTGTTATTTTACCTGTTTTGTCCCTGCCCCTTCTAGTCCTGTGCCTCCTGATTGCTGAGTGTTCACCTGGACCTTCTGACTACCTTCCCTGTGCTATTCCATCAGCCTACAGACCTGGTACCTGGATTTTTGCCCGAGATGATTCCTACCACCTTACTACTGACGAAGACACCCATTCCAGTGGACCACTGTGACCCAGGAGGCATTCAGCCATCATGATGTGGCCTTTACCTCCACTCCTGTCTTGTTCTACCCAGATTCAGCACAGCCCTTTATAGTGAAGTCAGAGTCCTCAAGCCAAATAGCTAAAGCTGTTTTATCACAACAAAGGCCTAGTTTGTTCCATGAGTGTGCATTTCATTTCTTCAGTTAAAGCCTTCAGAGACACACAATAAATTTGGACCAGGGGATTTTTTAGTTATTAATGCTCTCTGAAGAAAGGCAACATCTTTTTGAGAGCAGCATTGGACCACACCCCACAATCTCAAATGATTGAAATTCATGAACATCTAGGATCCCGTGAAGGTCACTGGACCCTGTTTTTTCTACTTCAAATCCTGTAGTAGCCTACTGAATGAGAAAACATATTCTGACCCATTGGGATCAAATCAAAGGCACAGTGAACTCCTCATAGCATCTTCTTTGGAATTACTCAGGAACCAGAACTTTTTACACAAATGTAAGAAATTCTACCAAGGAGTCCCCTTACCTAACAGCATCTCACAAGGCTGCACCAGATTCCAGAAAAGGCTTCTCTTGATACATCAAGGTAGAACCTCTATGGTAAATCCCTCTGTTTATAATGCACTTTACAGTTTCAAAGCACTTGTACGTACATTTATCTCAATTATCAAAATAACAGTGAATTATAATCCCTTTTTGGAAATGAGGGAATGTAAATTTTAAAAGTTAAGCAATTATCCAAGGTGACACAGCTGTGAAAGTGGTAGAGGCCAGGCTTTCTGACACCCAGTCCAGTACTCTCCTTGGAATTAGCCTCCATTTTACCCACAGTGTTAAAATGGCTGGGTATTGGGAACCTCAGGAAATTTTCCAGCTTCCTGATCTGGTGCCCCTAGTCACATAGGATGTGTGATCACGTGATAGCTACATCTGGACCAGAATCCCATGGCAATATCCCACGGTTTAAGGGCATAATATCTCCGTGGTGGTAGATTGTCAAGTCAAAAACGGGACATGTTCTAACAGCAAAGCTACCCAATATGAAACACAAAGCTACTTTTAGATTTTTTAAGACTTACTGATATTCCTGGGCCCTAAGAGCTTGTCTATGGTCCTATCTTTGCAAACTAGTATTTACACAAAATGAGCCACCTGGTTTTTTTAAAGTCAGTATTGTGTGTGTGTGTGTAAATATGACATGGAGAAAGCTTCTGTTACCTAGTAAGATAGTAAAGTATGTAAGACATGGCCCTTCCCCCAGTCTACATTGAGGTATAGTGTATTAAAGGATCTCAGGAGACTTGCAGCAAATTACTACTGCTTCTGTGCTTAAATTCAGAAGTCTGAAAAAAAAAAAAAAAGACTTCTAGTAAAGAGTTCCATTTTGCTGTTTAACCCTTTGTGTCCTAAGTTTAATCAAACACAGAAGGATATTTTTTTGCATCATTCCATCTAATGGAATGCAGAAACTGCTCTAGAGCAGTATAACCAGTGCTTCCTGATTGCCAGCAGATTGCCCTGGACACCCCAGAATAAACAGCATCTTCAAAATCCCCCTTTCTCATACCTTCTTATTAATGGTTGAATTAGTATGTCTCTGTCATCTGAGAGTCTTGCATCTTGACCATTACCTTTATTTTCTGTCAAGGGAATCCCTAGAAGATGTATGGGGAGACATAGGAAAGGAATGGAAGAAAGTTAATTCACCCCAAATTGGATAAATTCCATGACATTTAGCAATATACTTCTGTATCCCTAGAATTGTATCATAACTTTAGTTCAAGGACATTGCATCTCAGGTGGGTTAAGGAGGTTGGGAAGGGGAGAAAAGGGATGAGGAGATATTTTCTTGAGATTTATCTCCTTGAGATAATGCTTGAGAAGTCATCCAGCCATGGACTTCTTGGAGTAATACTTACAAAGAATTGGATGCATTTTGCATCCTTAGGCAAAAACCCCAGTGCTGTTACAACTGAAAATCATTAGCCTTGTTCTCTGATAGATACTTACAAGCCCAACTGCAGGCAATCAAAATTTATAGCAGATGAGTTCTAACTCCATCAACCTGTAATGTGGTCCATCTTAGGGAAAGAATAGGAAAACACCTTGGTTTACCACAGGCTTTGCTTACAGTTTCTGCTTTCTGTGACCTATTTTTTGTATTTCAGCATTTTGTGACCGACTTATTCTTAGATCATTGGTTTTCCAAAGGCTTTGTGGCCATGAAGCCCTTTGAGTGAAAACTGTGCAGAAGCCCAGAGTAAAAGTGAAGCTGCTCTGGATGAAGTAGTGAAGCAAGAGTAGGGGCCTGAATCCTGCTACAACTATCTTCCTTTACCACCGTGGTGACACCTAAGGGGACTTCCTTACAACACCTTGAACTCTTCCGAACACAGTTTGAAAACCACTGCCCCAGACAGCAATATGTTTGACCTGAATGGCATTCCAATCTTTTCTGTACCTCCACTCAGCACAGTTCATGTTCAGTAGATGCTGAACATTCTTAGAAATACTGTGTGTGAACTTAGAAAAGTGCAAGAAGACAGGCATGTCTTTGACCCCAGGAATGATCATTTGCTGAAGATGGTGTCAAGTGAACCTAGATTAACAGCCCTCCACTCCAGATGGATATCCAGTGATTCCTAGAATGGGATATAGCCAGAGAACAATTCTATGCACCCTACACTGACAGACTCCCTTAAGCAACACCAGATGCTCTACTGGTACTTGAAGTACATGACTTTGAAGTCTTGACCCTCCATGAATACCTGAATTATCAGCAAGCGGGTTTTGAAGCTGGTGCCTCATTGAGGCCATATTAGAGCAACTTGTACATTTGACCTCTTGTTATCAGCCATGGTACTCTACTTCGTGTGCAAGAGATAACTATGAAAGCCAAATTCAAATACTGGCAACATTTCCTAAAGGGGCTCAATATCTATCATTCGTCTTCTTTTCCAAACTACACATCACTGTATGACTCAACCAGTAGCAGTTATATTGCCCCTTGGTTTTTATTCAGTTTAACTACTGTTTCCAAGATAAATGAGCTAATAAGCTTTAAAAAAAAAAAAAAAAAAGGCTGAATTCTTTTTTCTTCATCACTGGCATATCTGCCTATTCTCCAGAATTATTATGACTATTCAGCTCACTTTAACAGTTGAACTTCAAGCGACAATCTTTGAACACCCCTTCTCATGTGATTTAAAATGAAACCATTTGGAAAAGTTTCTTCTAGCCAGTAATAGATTTTTTTTTTAATTGCTCTGCCTTGTGCCGAGAGATGTTCTTTTAAGATGAATCTTTTGATGTCTGATACCACCAAATATAGGTGGTAGGGAGAGTTGGAGGCTGGCCCTTTGAGCAGGCCATTAGCTTACTTGCTGGGCATTTCCGATAGCTTATTGCCTACCTTTTTGCTGGAAACAAACTGATTTGAAAAACAAAATCTATGAAGACTGCAGCTAAGGATTTTATCGGTAGACTTAAGAGCTTTTGTCCTTGTGGATATTTTAGTGGAACCACATCAGTCTCAATACTGTCATTTTACACTGACTCAGAGCAGCTGACTTCATTCCTTGCCATGATATATATTTAAGGCAGGCATTGTAACAGACATAAAGACAACTTATCTGTTTCAGCAGGAAGGATTCAGTTTATGAACTCTCAGACCAGATCATGTTGAACAAGGAGACTTTGATGTGTGTCATGAGAAAACTCATTCTTTACTTCCCAGTCAATTTAAAGGCCAGCTATCCTGAGCTACTCGAATGAATGCACTGGTTAAACATTGGAAATAGTTTGTTTATATCCTTGTCTCTCTCTAGGCCAATTGTGATTACATGACTCGACTCTACATCTCGTCAAACAAGGCCTAGGTCTGGTTGCTGTAGACTGCTCGCCCTCAACAAATAAAATCTGGTTGACTAGCCTCCTTGTATATACAACTATTATTTGTTAAGAAGAAATTATCGTCAATTTTCTACTACCTTCCAATTGTCAGCTCTTTTTTTCCTCTCTGGTTTTTCCTATACTTTACAGAAAAAGACATTGATCTATACTGCCATTCCCTCTAATCCTGCCATACTCAGTCAAAAGGAATGACTTAAGATGAAGATGATCATCTGCTCGAGTCTAAAATATACATTGTATATAAGAATTGGTGATTAGAAAAGCAAAAAACCTAAAACTTAAATCTAGGAGTCTGTATACTGTCTCCATGTCTCCATGCCTCAGATCTCATCTAAATCTTTGAACAGCACCATTCAACCAATCTGAGGCCTTGACTTGCTTGTAAGATGATTCTCAGAGATCGGCTGAGTTAAAAAAGATGACGACTTGATTACCAAAGAAAGTAGGGCCAACTTTGACAAATCTGGCTCTGCTGACCCTGTCACTCCCAGATGTAGCATAGACTCCTAAACAGAACCTCAAGTCTGATTGAGGATAAGGCCTTCTCCTGAGCTGAAAGTTCTTTGGCAGATGAGCAAGAAACTGAAAGCTGATGTACCTGACTGGCTCTGTAAGATCAGAAAACTGTATCCAGAATAAGCCCTATGGATTAACCCCTGAGTACCCAGAGTAAAAACTAATTTACAGAACTTCCTTATTGATCTGCTGGTTCTTCCAGATCATATTCTGGCTATTGGTATGGCTGGCCTTTCTGAAGGTACCCTGCTTGTCTATTTTCCTGACTCAGCTCTTGCCTGCCTTTTTCACATGTTGCTGCAATTAGACTCACCGTGAGGACTACAGTCAATTTCAGTCTATCTTGTGCCCAATACAACAAGGATTTTTAATAGTAACAACCCACACCTCACCCACTAGGACTCAATGTTCACAACAGGAAGGACCATTGCTGCATACTCCTTGACCAGCAACTTTTTTGAAGATATTTTTAAGTGCAGAGTAGGCCTCTATTCCTGTATGTAATTGTTCATTTTCAGCACCTGGAACCTCATCTATCGGGTCTGGAAGGAATACAGCAGTTCGAAAGCCGCGTCCATTTCTCTCCTTCAGTAGTGCAGAAATGAGTCCGATTCACCAGTACACACAGAACTGTACCAGTTCAACCTAGCAAAAGAAGAAAAGTTTCCACTGTACTTAAAATTTACAGCTGACTCAAATTGCCTCACAGAATTATTTGATGTAGAAGGCTAGTTGTCTTACTTCAGATCAGCAGGACAGTTGGGCTCTCAGACTCATGACCACTGAGTTTGCTTGTGTTGAAACTGTGGTTTCATCCAACATATGCTATTGGACATGATTATTATTCCATTCAAATGGATTACAGACTTCTTGAGGACAGGACAAACTTATCTCTCATGGTGTTTTTTTAGAATACTTTTATAACCAAGGAAGAAACCATGCCAGCTGTTACCATTCAACTTCTTAAGCAGAGATTAAGCTTTTTCATATCTGTTCTTATCCTGGACATCAGTAGTTTTTAATTGCCCAGCATCCGTTCCATCTTGTAACAACTCCCTGATGTTTCTTAAAACCACCTCTTCCTATTTTCAGTCTGTGGTTTGGACAGTCTGACCCAACCTTGAGCTTTGTGGGTGAACATGTAATTCAGACCTCATCAATCAGCAAATCCATCTGAACTGTGGAGGAGAAGCTCTCTTTACTGAGGGTGCTTTAGCTTTGTAGGATGAAAACCTCAAACTAACAGGGCCTACCATGTAGAGAATGAAGCCAGTGCAGGGGAAAGCAGAGCCAAAATATGGAGAGACTTGAATCCTGATGACAGCGTTTGTGCCCCTGGATCCAACCGTGCCTGAAGCTAGAATATCCCCTGGACTTTTCAGTTATGTGAACCAATAAATACCCTTTTTTGCTTAAGTTACTTTGAGTTGGGTTTCTGTTACTTGAAATTGAATCCACACTAATATATCTACCAACATTGAGACTTGACAGATCCAAGTATTTATTAAGCTAGAGGTCATGGTCACTGAAATTACTTTCCAAAGTGGAAGACAAAATGAAACAGGAACTGAGGGAATATTTAAGATCCCACAGAAGCGTAAAAATGACATGGTAGAAAGTAATAGAAAACCTAAATGTCTGTCATTAAAGGATAGGTTAAGGTGTGGTTCAGCCATATAGGAATATCTCGTATCTGTTAAAATGAATAAAGTACATTCATTGTGTATGGAAAAATGGCCATGATACATTAGGTGAAACAAGTTATTAATAGAAAAGTGTACAGTGTGAACTCATTTTAAAATGTGTGTGCTTATGTTTATAAATGCATAGAAAGGTCTATTCACAGCTTTCTTTGAACAGTGTAGATCACATGAAACTTTCAACTTTATACATTTCTGTATTAATATTTTACACTACCCACATTATTTTTAAACTTTATTTTAAATAAAGAATTTTTAAAATTAAATTTAGTGCTTACTGTTTGACCTTGGCAAGTTATTCAACACTGAGCCTGTTTTATCAAATGATTTAAAATGCCTACTTTTATGTTAGTAAATATTAAATATAAATCATTCATTACTCAAGTTGACAGATTGCTATACCATTGCTTGTTTGAGAAACTCAGAGCTTAGTAATTGTTCCTTAGTTTTTTAAGCATGTCTCCTTCAAGTGAGTTTATTTGGATTATCAGAATTTTGTGGTTTTAAGGTTTATCAAAGATTATTCTAGTTCTTGACTGATGTTGATCTGCTAAGACTATTGCAGTATCCACATTAGGCAGAAAGCAGGGGGAAAGTCACTTTTTTTAAAAAATCCTTGAAATATTCTGATGTCACTGCAATTAAGGTCAATAGTGACCTTTTCATTGCTAAATCCGTTACACCTGCATCTAATATGAACTTTCAGCAGCACAGGTAACTCCCACCAGCTTCTTGAAACACTTCCCTTAAGTGCTATAATACTTTTAATTTTCTTTTCAACTTGCAGACTACTCCTTTATTGTAGGTTCTTCTCCCCATCATGTAAATATAGGTATAGTGGACATCCATTGCTTTGGCTTGCCAAAAATCACTTCCCCTTTACTTTAATCATACATCCCCACTTATCCTTTAGAAAGCTGCTCCTTCCCATTCTGTGTGGTGGTAGTGGAAATGTAGATGACAGTACTCCGGCCTCATGCCCCCTGGCTGAGGTTTGAGCAATGCAAGCTCGTTCTGTCCCACAAGGACTTTGATTCTTAAGAAAGGTGACCACAAAGTGATCAGAGTTGAGTCATTCTGATCGTAGTGTTCTAAAGAAACCATTTAAAAGTTTATGAAAGGAGATCTCCAAAGTATGCTGGCTCCTATTCTCCAAGCCTGGTTGTCCAAGTTTTCCTTTGATTGTATAAACTACCACATAGCCTCCTTAAAATAAGTTTCCTTTTTGTCAGCCAAAATGGGTTTCTATTGCTGGTGACCAAATGACTGACTAATTACAGAAATGGAGGCCGGAGAGTTAAATGGTAGGCCTTTAACCCACAGGAACATATGGAGGATCTGGAATTGATTATTGTACTGAGACAGATAATGGCACCAGCTCTTGTTCTGTGTCCCTGGGAGGATAAATCTACGAGTTAAGGGTGACAAAACAGTAATGATATCATTTCTTGTCATTTGGAATCGTGCCTGTTGAGAGTAGAATTTGGAGGGCCAGGTAATTGTTGACAATAGGACAATTTAAAGTGGATAGACTGGGCACAGTGGCTCACACCTGTAATCCCAGCACTTTGGGAGACCAAGGTGGGTGGAGCACCTTAGGTCAAGGAATTCAAGACCAGCCTGGCCACATGATGAAACCCCGTCTCTACAAAAATACAAAAATTAGCCAGGCATGATGGTTAATCATGTAATCCCAGCTACTCGGGAGGCTGAGGCTGGAGAATGACTTGAACCCAGGAGGCAGAGGTTGTGGTGAGCCAAGATCGCACTGTTGCACTCTAGCCTGGGCAACAGAGCAAGACTCCATCTCAAAAAAAAAGAAAGAAAAAATTAGCTGAGCATGGTGTTGGGTACCTGTAATCCCAGCTACTTGGGAGGCTGAGGCAGGAGAATCTCTTGAACCTGGGAAGCAGTGTTTGCAGTGAGCTGAGATTGTGCCACTGCACTCCAGCCTAGGTGACAGAGTGAGATTCTGTCTCAAAAAAATAAAGTGGATAAAGCAGGCCAGGACCACTGAGTTAGAATGGTTACTTTGATTGCATTAGCTATTTTATTTTTTTTAATTTTATTTATATATATATATATACTTTGAGACAGAGTCTCGCTGCAACGCCCAGGCTGGAGTGCAATGGTGCGATCTCAGCTCACTGCAACCTCTGCCTCCTGGGTTCAAGTGGTTCTCCTGCCTCAGCCTCCCAAGTAGCTGGGATTACAGGCACACGCGATCATGCTGAACTCATTTTTGTATTTTTAGTAGAGATGTTGGCCAGGGTGGTTTTGAACTCCTGACCTCAAGTGATCCGCCCACCTCAGCCTCCCAAAGTGCCGGGATTACAGGCATGAGCTACCGCCCCTGGCCCCGGTAGCTGTCTTAAAGTGAAGGGCATCAGCTCAAACCCAGAAACTGACCTGTGGGCATAGAATAAAATACAGGCCCTTTTTGTGGCCAGGATAAATGAATCTCGGTGCTTAAATCCACACTAGTACTTGGAGATTAATTATTCAAATTGCAAAATTACAATGCTGGTTGAATTTGTAGCATTACTAACGTCTCTTTTGTGAGAGTTAAGGTATTAATCAGAAAAGAGACTGTATAGAGTGCTGATACCTGGGAAGATTCAGAAGATTTAGAGAATCCCAATCCTCGAAATATCTCAGGAATGAAGGTTTGGGTTACCCTATTAGTCAAAAATCCCTGACTGAATTAAACAAAAAAGTATAGTCAAAGAGGAAGAGATAAATAGCAGTTATAGCCCCATAACCTGTTGGAGAAGTAAGATCTGTAGCCTCTACCCCATATCTTTTAGGTTGCCTTATTTTATTTCCCCCTCTCCTCTTTATTCATTACAGTATTCTGCCCTAACATTTCCTGGCTGAAGTTTGAGCATGATGCAAGTTAATCCAATCAGATTTCTCCTCCATTGGAGCTGAGCCATTCTAGTGGTAGTGTCCCCTCACTGATGTGTATGAGTGTGTTGGTGATGGTTAAATATATCAGGAAATCCGTAAGTTGCAGATTATCAAGATGGGGTTAAGAACTAGAGAAGAATGAGCATCACCCAGAAATCTTAGGCTTATAACTAGAAATTATTTTAGGTTATCTCCCTTTAAGAGGAAGATCTCCCTTTAGGGGGGATTATGTTGAGTGAAGGTATTAAGATT